>NC_000010.11:80294610-80446125 GCF_000001405.40 Homo sapiens | reverse complement strand
AGAGGCTAGTGGGAAGATGGGTCACTCCATCAGTATATGGCAGGACTTGGAGTGCAGGCAATGGCAATGGGTTAGGCGCCAACATCTTTGGTAGAACTTTTACTTCAAGGTCAGTTTTGCACTGGTGTTGCCTTTCTTGAAGAAAGAGGTTAGGGAGCCTTGGGGAAAAGAGAACAGAAAGGAAATTTATTTCTTGGCCTGTCATTCTATACTTGGCCTATTTGTTCCAGAACAATCTATTTTAAGGAATCTGCAAACTTCTAGGAGGTTTCTACTCTTATTTGCATCTACAGCCTCAGCCATGGGACCTCTGCCTGCCAGTGGCGTCCCCTGCAAAGAATTAGGACTAAGATTTGTGATAGGAGCCCATGTGTGAGGATAAGACACAGTGGAACACCCTTTAATTATAGCATCTGAGACTGTCTAAGCAGATGGTGGTGACAAGGAGTCCTGTCATCTCTCTGCCCTCAGTTGTTCCATTTCATAAACTGAAGGTGGCAGAGAAAGAAAGGTTGTTCAACAGGTGACATCCCACGGCCCTTTCAGCCCTGTGCATCAACCACACTGTAATGACTCCACATGGGAGAAGAAAGTTTTGCCAAAGAAGAAAACCCCAGATGTGGCCAAATAAGACATCAAGGGAGGGAGCAGATCCTAGATGTTAAGAGCAAGTATAATACCAGGAATCGGACTGCACGGGCTAAGTCCCAACTCTGCCCCTGAAAGCTAGGTCCACTCAGGCCGGAGAGCTGCTCATGTCTACCCAGGGAACTATGGGATCTGTGCAGATGTCAAAGCCACTTGACAGCACAGAGTGTTACTTCTGGAATAATGTCATGCAAACTGACCTTCACAAAGCTCTGACTTAGTAACATAAATGTGGAAAGGGGGCTCAGAGGGAATCACCTAGCTGATAAGTGGTAGAAGCAGGACTGTCAGCTTTATGACCACACCTGAGTCCCCAGTCTGTCTCAATCTCACACCTAGAGATTTGAGGGTCGGCTAAGGCCCTGGGACCTCTAGGCGCAGACACTGCTAGGAGAGCCACTGAAAGTTCCCCCTACCACTACAAAGTAGGGGAGAGAGGCACACCTAGACTCATCTGAGACAGAGCAGAAAACAGATGGATGTTGCAAACATCACAGGTACCTCTCCCTGTCCCTGTCACACAGCTTTGGGGAGTTTTAGTTGGTTCCATGGAGAATCTGGTAGTCCCCGGGGAGAGCTGCGCAGCAGTTGATGCCGCGTGCATACACTGCCACCTAGAGGCAGTCTGAGGAAACTCCAAGTTTATTAAACCACGGGTGTGTGTGTGTGTGTGCGTGTGTGTCAGTCTGTCTTTCTGTGTGTTGGGGGAGGAAGGGAGGGCTTTTCAGTCCTTGTCTGGCACTGCTGATTCTCTCTTTCCTGGAGCCCTTGGCTCTCTTCCTCTACCCACTCGGGACCACGTGTCCTGCACGCAGCTCCTCCTCAGTCTCTTTGCAGATCCTGCTCCCCATTTCCTACAAATGCTACTTTTCCCAGATGCTGGGAACATCTAACACCATTTTCTTCCCCCTCTCATCTCCACAGGCTCTCTGCCCTCTGTGCCACTCTGTGTCTTTAGAATCCTCTGTGCACCGCCCCCACCCATCTTTGTGGCCAGATCCCTCTCCTGAGCTCCGGTTCCCCCTCCCTCACACTAGAAAGAAAATCTGATCCCATCAGTCCTCCTCCTGCAAACCCTTAGAGGTTCATTTCATGAACACAGCTCCTTCCATTGTTCTACAGGGATTAACCAGGCCTGGCCTCTGAGTGGGCTGCTCCAACCATATTCTGACCACAGGCCTGCCTCACACACAGTGACCTAGCCTGTCACCTCTGGTTTGTGACCACCTAGACCACACTTCAGGACCCACTGTGTTAGATTAGATCACTCACTTGGAATTGCCCCTGGCAGAAGGAAGCTGCCCCCCACCAGGGCTCTGCCCCACCCCCATCCCTGGTGCAGGGTGCAGCCTATGTCCACTAAACGAGTGATGGGTGGGAGTTACAAAGCCCCTTGTCTCATTTCGGGGCATCTGCTGGGTGATCTCAACTCAGAGCTCCTGTGGGATCAGTTGAGGCCTCACAGCTCCATGTCGCCCTCCACTCAGTCCTGCTCCCCTCACTTCTTGCATACACATTTCTGGACCAGCTTCTATTTCCTGTGCACTTGGCACATGCCATCACTTTGGCTTAGAACAGCTTTTGAGTTATTTTCCTTTGCCTGTCTGAGCACAGGAAGTAGAAAGCCACCCAGCACAACCTTGCAGCCAGGCCCTTAGGAGAACTGGCCAGCAGAGGTCAGGATCTAGTACTGCCTCCACGTCACCCACTCTCTATTCTCACTGAGACATTGGTATCTCATTTATCTCCACAGTGCCAGCAACTTCTGGCCAGCTTCCCCTCAGGGCTCCTCCCTGCCTTCTGCCGGTCAGCTGTCACCATCTGCGCCCCTTCTGGGGAAAAACTTTGTACAGGTTTTACAGGTCCCTGGCTAGTTCACAGAGGCCTGAGTTAGGGTCCAGGGTCCACCCCGGTCCAGTCGATGTGCCCAGGACCGGGGTTTGTGGTGCAGACCGTGGAGAGTCTGGGTGCCTCCAATGGAAGGTGTGGCATGGCCAACTCTGAGGTCCCCAGGATGGGACAGCAACATCTGGGCACATAATGTCTTGCCACCTGCTGCTAAGGCTGCTAACTGCAAATAATAAAGAAGCAAATTTAGAACCACATATTAGCATTTGTAACTGGTTTTAGTATGCATATACAGATCCAGTTTTGTAATGATTATATTATTATTTGTCAATTTTTAAAGGCGTTTTAAACATTTATGAGACTGAGTCATTACAGTTGGGAAGAGTGTAACTGATTACATTTAATGTTTAAATGCTCAAGGAAAATCTACTTTCTAAAAATTATCATCAACTGAAGAATGACGAGGTTCATAAATTTGGCTCTCTTGAGTCATGAAGGCTGGGGAAAGATGAGAGTCCGATAAGGGCAGCCCAGAGCTCTGCATGGCAGAGACTTTAAAGACTTCCTGCTTCAAGCAGCACCCGCTTTCCCAGGAGCTGGCTGTGCTTTGGCCCCCAGGCTCCACACCCTAGCCCCTCCTGGCCAGAGGCATCTGGCCTCCTCCTGCCTCTGTGTATAAGCAGTGCTGGGGTGAGAGCTTAGCAGCAGAACTGGCCTTCTCTCCCCCTGAGGAAGCCTAGCACAGTCATGAAGGGCACAAGGGAGGGCCAATAACAGCTGGGTCCACTGGCTCAGGAAGATTGGCACCCCCCAGGACACTTAGCTGGATTTGTGTCCCTTTCCAGGCTCCTGCCCATACAGGCCCATGAGATTTCCTATGCTCCTTGAATCAAATGGATTTCTTACAGTTCTATGTGGCCTGAGTTTCACAACACAAATAGCCCTCTCTGAGGGGCTAAGGGTGAGGGCACAAAACTTCTTGTCAGTGAACTAGCTAGAGAGGTTTACCAAGCACGCAGTATGGTGCATTTTTATTACTCTGTTAAAAGTGTGTGATTAGTTAATATACTCATATGGAACAGATTATAAAAGTTCAAAAGGGTATTAAAAGGGACATTCTCCTTTATGTCCCCAATCACCAGTATCCTGTTCCTAGAGCAAATACTGTTACAAGTTTTCATGTATTTTCTCATAAATATATTATGGCAGACACTGCTGGTTTTTGTTTTTTTCCCCAAATCCATTCTTTCTTCTTCGTCATCATCTTTTGTTTTGTTTTCTTTTGTTTTTTGAGGAGTCTTGCTCTGTCACCCAGGCTGGAGCACAGTGGCACAATCTTAGTTCACTGCAGCCTCCGCCTCCCGGGTTAAAGTGATTCTCCTGCCTCAGCCTCCCAAGTAGCTGGGATTACAGGTGTGCGCCACCACGCTTGGCTAATTTTTGTATTTTTAGTAGAGATAGGGTTTCACCATGTTGGCCAACTGGTCTTGAACTCTTGACCTCGGGTGATCTGCCCCTTGGCCTCCCAAAGTGCTGGGATTATAGGCGTGAGCCGCCTCTCCGGGCCTGAAGGGCATTCTTTCATAGCAGGGACAGGAACAAGCCCAGGCTGTTCTGGCCAGTTCCTCCTGACCTCAGGCTATTGCATTCCCAGCACATTCTACAGTTATTCTTGAGAACTACAGTGAGAAAGCTGGGAGAACTGGGTCAGTCCAAGGCCATCTGGAGAACTGCTCTGTAGTCCATCCGAAACCCAGATATCCCCCTTAGCGAAGCTGGTCAATTTCATATCCCACCAACCTCCCTGGATTTGGAGGCAGGGGTTTGGTCTGTCTCATTAGTTCGAGAACACTTTAACTGACACAATCCCAGTGAGACATCATTAAGCCATAGCCAGAATCCATTTCACGAGGCCCAGGAGGACCCCTACAACTGCAGAATAACCAGGGCTGCCTGGAGCATGACCTAGCCTTGGACACAGCGATCCAGTTAAGAAGTCGCTATGGAAGTCTAAGAAGGATCCTTCAGGTGGCCCCACTGTCTGCAGCCAGTGGGCCTGCTCCTGAATTTTTTCTGCTTGTGAGGGTCTGCTCCTGAATTTCTTCTACTTGTGTGTCTTTTCTTTCCTTTTTTTTTTTTTTTGTTTTTGAGATGGAGTTTTGCTCTTGTCGCCCAGGCTGGAGTGCAATGGCACAATCTTGGCTCACTGCTCACTGCAACCTCCACCGCCCGCGGTTCAAGCAATTCTCCCACCTCAGCCTCCTGAGTAACTGGGATTACAGGCACCTACCACCATGCCTGGCTAATTTTTGTATTTTTAGTAGAGATGGGGTTTCACCATGTTGGCCAGGTTGGTCTCTAACTCCTGACCAAAGGTGATCCGTCCACCTTGGCCTCCCAAAGTGCTAGGATTACAGGTGTGAGCCACCGCGCCCAGCCTACTTGTGTTTCTATGAAATCTGATGTGCTTATCCAGGTACAGCAGGAGGTGTTAACAATTGCACACACTCCTCCCACTTGGGCTAAAAGAAAGTCTAGAGCAATATTGGTATGTAAAACAATCTTCCCAAGAGAAATGAAGGATGTCTGCAGGGCTGCCAAAACAGTGGCTGTGAAGGAGGCAACATCTGCCATGGTCAGGGACAGATTTCTTATCATTCTTTTATGAGCACTGACTCCTAGGTAGGTACCAAAGAGCTCATAAAGAACATGAACCCAGAGTCAGTTACACCTCCTGGCAGGCTCCCTAGTCAGCCTGGTGTATAGCTTTAGGCTGCTAGCCCAGTGGTGCATCTCATTTCCAGGGGTGATATCCAATGGCACCCCCAGCCCATCTAATGTGCAGAATTTCACCATCCACTAGCATTCTACTCTCTGCTTTTATGGGTTCCTTTTTTTTTTTTTTTTTTTTTTTTTGAGATGGAGCCTCACTCTGTCGCCCAGGCTGGAGTGTAATGGTGTGGTCTTGGCTCACTGCAACTTCCACCTCCCAGGTTCAAGCAATTCTCCCACCTCAGCCTCCCAAGCAGCTGGGATTACAGGTGCCCGCCACCAAGCCTGGCTAATTTTTCTATTTTTAGTACAAAAATACAAAAGAGATGGGTTTCACCATGTTGGCCAGGCTGGTCTCGAACTCTTGACCTCAGGTGATCCACCCGCCTCAGCCTCCCAAAGTGCTGGGATTACAGGCATGGGCCACCGCGCCTGGCCTATGGGTTCAATTTTTGAAAAAAAAAAAAAAAAAATTCCACAAATAAGTGAAGCCAGGCACAGAAAGACAGATACTGCATGATCTCACTTAACGTATGGCCTCCAGGTTCACCCATGTTGTCACAAATGACAGAATTTCCTTATTTTATTATTTTTTAAAGATGGGGTGTGGCTATGTTGCCCAAGCTGGTCTCAAACTCTTGGGCTCCAGCAATCCTCCCATCTCAGCCTCCTGGGTAGCTGGAACTACATGTGCACTAACACACCCAGTGTTAGATTTCCTTCTTTTTAAAAGCTGAAAAGTACTCCTTTGTGTACATATGCCACATTTTCTTTATCCATTCATCCATTGATGTATACTTATCTTGGCTATTGTGAATAATGTGCTGCAAAGAACGTGAGCATGCAGGTATCTCTTCAACATACTGGTTTCATTTCCTTTGGGTAAATACCCAGTAGTGGGATTGCTGGATCATATAAGAACTCTATATTAAGGAACTCTATACTGTCTTCCATAATGGCTGTACTAATTTACATTCCTGCCAACAGTGTGTAAGGGTTCCCTTTTCTCCACATCCTTTCCAACGTTTGTTTCTTTTGTGTGTTTGTTTTTGTTGTGAGACAGAGTCTCGCTCTGTTGGCCAGGCTGGAGTGCAGTAGCATGATCTCGGCTCACTGCAACCTCCACCTCCTGGATTCAAGCGATTCTCCTACCTCAGCCTCCTGAGTAGCTGGGACTACAGGTGCGCACCACCATGCCCGGCTAATTTTTGTATTTTTAGTAGAGACAAGGTTTCATCATGTTGGCCAGGCTGGTCTCAGACTCTTGGCCTCAAGTGATCCACCTGCCTCAGCCTCCCAAAGTGATGGGATTACAGGCATGAGCCACCGTGCCCGGCCCCAAGATCAAGAATTTTGACTGACTCAGACTGTGCTGGGAGAGCATTTAGTGTAGCAAGTGGGACCAGCACATCTTGTTGGATGAAGAGTGCAATTAGAGGCATCTTCTGCTGGAACAAAGCTCTGCAAGGAGCTGCCCTGTGGACAGACTGAGAGAGGCATTTTCGGGGACTCAGGTATCTCCCACTGGCCACCCCTTGGCAACTCTCACTCTAATTATGGCTGGACCTGGGCCTTAACGAGTGCTTCTGCAATGAGAAACTTCCATCATCAAGTCTTCGGTAACTTTCAAGTAACAAAGGCAGGATAAATGCTTGTCTTTCTTTACCAGGTTTCAAATGAGTTGCTTTCTTAGCATCATCCAGAGATTTTCTTTTTTTAAAGGATCATTATGAACTCATTGATTTGAACATCTGATGTGTTTTAATTCATTGCCATTATTCTTATTGATGCTCAAAGAGTCCCATCTTTGGCAAGTGAGAGTTGTCTCCTGAGTCTGTCCTTTATACAAGCCCTTAGTGGTGATTGAGAGCTTGCTTGGTATCTGGTACAACAAGATGTTACAGGCTCATCTTGTACATTTTCTGCCCCAACCCTGCAATCAGCCATTTCCCCAAGGAGTTCCCTTTAGCAGAAACTGATATTGGAAGACCATGTTCTGGGCTCAGCTGTCTCTTGAGAGACTTTATTCATGTTTCCTGGCTGAACACCATGGAAATTAGGGCATGGGTGTCTCTTAACTAACTTCAGAACAGACATGGACGACTACTTGGCACGAAAGGGGAAAATTCCTCTGCTTCTTAAAAGATTTCACAATTGTTTGTCAAGGTAAGGCAGTGGTCTTCCACCTTGCCTACATACTAGAATCCCCTAGGGAGCTCTAAAACATACTGATGCCTGGATCGATCCAGCCCCAGAGATTCTGGTTTAACTGGACTAGGATCTGGACTGAGCAATGGCATGTTTTTTCTTTTCGTTTTGTTTTGTTTAGTGTGAGGCTCGCAGATGGGGCTCAACCCTGACTGTAATTATTCTGTATTTGTCTTTACACTTTTACCATCTATATATGGAGCTTACACAATACTGTTTGCAAGCCTTACACATTTATGTAAACTGTATCCTACTGAATGTACATTCTGAAGCTTTTTTCCTTCCTTGTTTCGGTGCATCCAAGTTGATACTTATACCTCTCATTCATTCATTGTAACTATTATAGCACAGTAAAACCTTCTACTACCCCATCATTTTCTGCTGTAAAATGATCAAAAATTCATGAGCAGTTAGTTGTCCAGGAGAAAAATCATGAAGGTAACCCTGACTGCTCTTTTTCTTACATCCTATATCCAAATAGTTCAAGAATCCTCTTAGCTCCTCTTTCTGTCACATCCTACATCCAACAGTTAAAGAATCCTCTTAGCTCTGCCTTCAAATATATCCATCATGACGCTTCTCACTATCTTCTGTGCTCCCACCTGGTTGCCACCACCATTCTCTCTTGCCTGGATCATTGCACCAGCCTCCCAAATGGGCTCCCTGCTGCCACCTTTGATCCTCTAAAATCTATTCTCTCAAAGCAGCCAGAATAATAGAAATCAGATCATGTCACTCTTCTAAAAACCCTCTAAACGAATTCCCATCGCTCCCAGTAAAATTTAGAATTGCCTCCTATCCCCTACTGCAATAACTAGTGTGTGGGTTGACCTTGACCATCATTATATAATACAGAAAGGTGACCAGGTACAGCTGGAAGAAGCATGTCCTTGAAAGGACCTCCCCACACCTCCCTAATCCAGGGATCTAACCCACTATCATCCTCAATTGTTACTGTCTTCAAAACAAAATGACAAATCCTCCTTTAAATGTAGAAAGGATTTGAAGGGTTAAATGAGAACAAATCAACTTTCTTTCCCTTCCCCTCCCAAACATAAACTGACAAATACACACCTTCTTGCTTGCCCCATGGGGCACTGGCAACCCAGAATGGAGGGAGGGCAGCTAGTGCTGGGAAGAAACTGCAGTCTGCCCTGACTGCATCCACCCTCTATCCTCACAGCCCCTACAGCCTCTTCCCCACAGCTCACCTTCCCTGCCCTCCACTCCCCTACACTGCAATGGTATGCTTTGCTCTGGGAAAGAGAGGAAGCAGACACAGGCATTGCTTTTGAGAAATCTGCATACTGGGAGAGAGGACATAGAACCAGGTAAACAAAACAGACTAGACTCCTCCGTTTTCCCCTAGCCATGCTTCGCTATCCAAATCTCTGCCTTGGAAGTTCCTCCAGCTGGGGGTTCCCCATGCACCCCTGTCCACACCATCTGTGACCCTTGCCACTGCTAGGGCCAAGGAAAAACTCGCCCTTCACCCGCTGCAGACTTGCTGAAAAAATCACTGACAAGAGGCAAATTAACAGGAGAAAAAGCAAACAAATTTATTTGATCATAATTGTATGTGAGCCCTCAGAATGAAGACCCCAAGATACAGGGGAATTGTCCATTTTTATGTTTAGGTTCAACAGATTATGGACTGTGTAGAAATATGATTGGACAAGAAGGGTATGATCTAATAGTAATAGACTGAGAGGGGAAACCCAGCAAGGCTGTCTAGATTCTTCTTGGCCTCTCTGTGCAGGATTCCTTCCTTCTGGGCACGGGGTGGGACCCTCTCTGGAATGGGTATCTTACGACAGTCAAACACGGTAGGTCAGATCATTTCTTTCCAACCAGTTTTTACACAGAAAGGGGAATGGGGAGTGAGAGGACTATTTTTAGGTTTTATGGCTGGCTTTGGGTAAAACCGGTTCTGGTTTCTGATGACCTGCCTTGGGGAAGAGGGATTCTAGTTTCTATGGGTAGCCTTGGGGGAGAATGAAAAGCCAGAAACAAGAGGGCAGGAGAAGGTCAGAGAGAAACTTTTGCTTCTGGGGCTGCTTCTGAGGCCTTCCTTTTAAAGTTATCAGAGATGATCAGGGGCATCCTGGCTCCAGGTAAGGTCTCCTGACGTGAGTGTGCTGGTCTTCCACACTGGATGCCGAGCCTTTTAAAGGGTGGTTTTCAACCTTGGCTGCATATTGGAATCACTCCAGGAGCTTTAAGAAATATTGTTGGCCTGGTGCTGTGGCTCATGTCTGTAATCCCTGAGCTTTGGAAGGCTGAGGCAGGATGACTGCTTGAGCCCAGGAGTTCGAGACCAGCCTGTGCAAGATAGTATAAGAGCTTGCCTCTACAAAAAATTTAAAAATTTGTTGGGTGTGGTAGTCCACGCCTGTAGTCCCAGCTACTAGGGAGGCTGAGGTGGGAGGATATCACTTGAGCCCAGAAGTTAAGGCAGCAGTGAGCCATGATTGCATTACTGCACTCTAGCCTAGGTGACAAGCAAGATTCTATCTAAAAAAAAAAAAAAAAAAGTTGCTTGGGGCCTACCCCAGAGATTCTGATTTAATAATTTTTACACTGCACCCCGCCCCCAACCCCCGCACCAGGTGATTCTACTGTGTATCCGAGATTGAGAACCACCAGCTTTACAGCAAGGACATTTTCTTACGTTCTTTGAATTTTCTTGCATTTCTTTGCATGTGGATTCTCAGTTTATCAAATAAATAAAAAGGAAACCTGCAAATGCTTGTCAAAGGCTGCTGAAACTTCAAGTCCAAAGCCCACAGAGATTAATGACTTTAATCTGTATAGTCCTTTAGAACCATGCTTCTCAAAGTGTGACCCATGGACCAGCAGAACATCAAGATCACCTGGAACCTGTTAGAAATGCAGAGGCTGGCCACGTGTGGTGGCTTACACCTGTAATCTAAACACTTTGGGAGGCCAGGAGTTTGAGACCAGCCTGGGCAATACAGGGAGACCCCCATCCCTACAAAAATAAAATCTGTTGGGTACGGTGGCATCCACCTGTAAGCCCAGTAACTTGGTAGGCTGAGCCAGAACAGCTTGCAGCCAGTTTGCAGCTGCAGTGAGCCATGACTGGGGCCACTAATTACACTCTAGCCTAGGTGACAGAGCAAGACCCTGTACATAAAGAAAAAAAAAAAGCAGAAACTCAGGCCCACCCAGACTGCCCACTGGAATCTTGAGAGCTGCAAATCATTGATTTTCAGCACAAACAATTTTGCTCACCCCGGACACGGAGAGACTTGAACAAACACTAGCATAGTTTCTAGCAGCTCAAGGCCCTGTCTCAGGGATAACCCAGGCCCCTTTGGGTCCCTGCCTGGGGAAGCTCAAGGCTGCCAAAAGAATTTACCATTTGTTTCAGCCAATGCCTGATCATAGGTTTCTAATCTCCCTCGTTTTTCTTGAGATGGAGTCACACTCTGTCACCCAGGCTGAAGTGCAGTGGCGTGATCCCGGCTCACTGCACCCTCCGCCTCCTGGGTTCAAGCGATTCTCCTGCCTCAGCCACCCGAGTAGCTGGGATTACAGGTGCGCGCCACCACAACAGGCTAACTTTTGTATTTTTAGTAGAGACAGGGTTTCACCATGTTGGCCAGGCTGCTCTTGAACTCCTGACCTCAGGTGATGCACCCACCTTGGCCACCCAAAGTGCTGGGATTATAGGCATGAGCCATGGCACCCAGTCCCTCCCTCTTCTTAGAGGACATACTTTATAAAATTTACAATTGTAAATCCTTTCTGTCCCTTTGGGGGATATATGTATCTTCTGCTGCACAGGAATGTGTTTCTCACTTTTTCTGGGAGCCATCCCTTTGTCATATAATTATCAGGAATGATAAGGCCGACTCCTGGTCTCTGTGGGAGGCTAGGATCCTAACTTTGATAAATAAATTTGAGAGTTAGTAGACACAGATAGCCGAATCACATTGACCAATCTCCTTACCAGCTTTTTGTAATTTTGCACTTCCCTAGTTCTATTTGAACCTCCTCCCTCCCCTCTTTAAAATTCCATCACCTCTGCACAGATTGGAGCTAAGCTCAGTTCTATACTGAGGACTCTCTCCTTCTGCAGTAGTTATTGAGTAAAATCTGTCATTATTGCCTTTAGCGTCCAGCTTTTTAAGTCTCCATTTTAATAAGGTCCTTATGTGATGTGCATGTACATTACAGTCTGAGAAGCAGTGTCATAATATTTATCATTCCCTCAGTGACTTATCATAAACAGCCCTGAATGGGAAGGAATCACGCCCATTTTGCCAATGAGTTAGATCTTTGCTTAAGATCACACTGGTAAACTAGAAATTGATTATGCCTCATGACTCAATCCAGTGCTCTTTCCAAAATGACATGCTAATCAGAAAGAGAAGACCACACTGCACGTGAGGACCCAGGGGAAAAAAGTTGGTGAGAGCTCACAAAAAACCAAACATGTTTCTCTTGATGCATCTCCATTGGTGCAATGTCCTCTCAGGTTTTTTTTTTTGATATGGAGTTTCGCTCTTGTTGCCCAAGCTGGAGTGCAGTGGCACGATCTCGGCTCACTGCAACCTCTGCCTCCTGGGTTCAAGCGATTCTCCTGCCTCAGCCTCCCAAGTAGCTGGGATTACAGGCATGTACCACCCCGTCTGTCTAATATTTTGTATTTTTAGTAGAGATGGGGTTTCACCATGCTGGCCAGGCTGGTCTCGAACTCCTGACCTCAAGTGATCCTTCTACCTCGACTTCCCAAAGTGCTAGGATTACAGGCGTGAGCCACCACACCTGACCTCAGGTTCTTCTTTAGTTGCAAGAGAACTGTTTCACCATCAAGTGTCTTAGGTATTAAAGTTCTAAGTTTAGGTACTGAGTTATCCTATCAGTAGCTGGAGTCCCAAGGATGACAGGTACCAACCCTGTGCAAGTACCAAAGGCTATGGCCTCAAATGCTGCAGAAGCCCAGCCCTTTAAGGGCCCATGCATACCCCATGCAACCACTGCTACATGAAGTCAGGTGCAGGCATGGTCTTAGTGGGTCTTAGTCCCGAACCACTCAACCCTAACTCACTCTGCATACTCAATCCCGATGCTCTCCTACTTTCCCAGCTTTACCTCCAACATCAGTATCCATTCTTGCTTTCCTGGGTAAACACTGATTCCTTTCTCCTCCTGGCTGGGCCAGTCCCCTGGGTAAACACTATTTCCTATTTCCACCCCCACCTTTCTACTCCTGGGCCAGTTTGATGCCTTGAGTAGACTCCCTGTGGCCGAGCTCCCTGGTAGGTCTTGATGATGTCACTCAAACTTACACGACAAAATTCAAACAAAAAAGATAAAGTTATATTTCATCATCTCTATGTCCTTTCTTCTGATTTGCCAAATTAGGCTAAAAGACCAATAGAAAAACAGCTACCAATTTTAAACACCAAAGTCATTCCTCTAGGAAAGACAGCAAAATTACTAACGTGAATGACAGGATGAATTTTTCCTGGTCATTTTCAAACCACTTAGATAGCTAGAACCAGAGGAATCCCCCGAGGCACTTTACCCCTCAGCCATGGAGAATGCTGACTTTTTTTACTTTCAGCCAATTATATGGTAAATATAATTATTAGTTTTATCAGAAAATCTTATACATACAGGTGATTTCTGATGCATAATTTTATTAAAGCCAGAGATGGACATTTTTTCTAGAGAAACAGATCTCTGAGGTTAGAATGGAAGATAATGAAACAAGAGATTTCACTTTATAATTTACCTTTGTCAAACTATCCCAGAGCATGTCAATTCTATTATGAAAGTATTACTTTGACATCATATAACCAATTATTAATAGAAAACACACATGCCAAAAAACCTTAAATTTTGTAATCTTCAAGTCAATCATCAACTTTTCTTGAATTTTTGAAGACCCGAAAAGAAAAATAATTTCAAACAACAGCACTCAAACATCATATGCATTTGTAATGAGGCACAGCAATCAATTTTTTTTTTTTTTTTTTTTTAGTTAGAGTCTCAGTCACCCAGGCTGGAATACAGTGGTGTGATCTCAGCTCACCGCAACCTCCACCTCCCAGGTTCAAGTGATTCTCCTGCCTCAGCCTCCCGGGTAGCTGGGACTACAGGTGCCTGCCACCACACCCGGGTGATTTTTGTATTTTTAGTAGAGACGGGGTTTCGCCATGTTGCTCAGGCTGGTCTCGAACTCCCGACCTCAAGTGACTTGCTCACCTTGGCCTCCCAAAGTGCTGGGATTACAGGTGTGAGCCACTGCACCCAGCCTGGCAGTCAATTTTAAGCCTCCTATTTCCCAGGTTTTAGCTTAATAATCCTCATTAGTTTTTCAGATTTTTGTCAGTCTTGTTTTGGGGCTATTTTGCCTTAGTGGGCCTAAACAGAATATTAAAATACATTAATAATCCATACTGAGAGTAGAGTATAAATGGGTTTCTCACTCCTTAGGGACACGAGTGGAAACAATACATCCCATGAACACAGGTGAATGTCCCTGGTTATCCCTGAGCTGGGCAGTTTCACACAATCATTTTTTCTCTGAGGCCAAAGTCTGTGGTTTGATCATCTTAGCAGCTTCCAGAACAGAAAGTAGGTTTACTTTGTCTCCAAATTCTTTTTCTCGGTGCTCAAGAAGAATGCCCTAAAAGGAAACAAGAGATAATGTCAGTCCTCATCCTAAATCGTTCGTTCATGAGACAGGCATCGAGGACCAGCTGTCTGTCAAGCCTTTTGCTTGAATAGCAAAGGACACAGATCCAAATATGGCCTGGCTCCTGCCCTCAAGGAGTTCAGTCTTTGAGGGAAGATAGACCGGAGAAGGCCACATCCATCTGGCCTGTACCAGCAGCTCTAGAAGCAGGAAGTCAGAAGTGATAAAGCATGACAAGGGCAATCAGGGAAGGCCTCACAGAGGCACGGAGGGTAACCAGGATGTCTACAAGTAGAGATGCAGGTAAAAGAACATACCAGGTGAAGAGAAAAAAATGAAGCTAACACAGAAAGGCCCAAAGGTGTGGAAGTGGAGCTCAGAGGTTAGACTTTGGAAGGCACTGAATGACCATCTAAAAGAGAGACCCTCATTTTTCTTTAGTCTTCTAAGAAACTGGAAGCCACTTTCTTCTCATACAGTGAAAAAAAATGCACTAAGACACAAGATACCCCAAAGTTATCTAAAGTTGGAGGTAGTAAAAAAAAGACAAAATAACATGTTTGAGATCAGCATCAAGGAATCCTTGTTAGAGTTCTTTGATTCATTACATCTGGAAACTCATCTTAAAAAGAAAATCTGTAAATACACTGTGTCATTATTTATAAAGACTTAAAAAAAAAAAAAAGGCCCACCACACTGCAGAGATTATGGGCAAGCAGATCAGAAAATTATATTTACTTGCTCAGTAAACCATAATACAGACATTAAAAATACTAATAGGCTGCGTGCTGTGGCTCACACCTGTACTCCCAGCACTTTAGGAGGCTGAGGTGGGCGGATCACTTGAGGTCAGGAGTTCAAGACCAGCCTGGCCAACACGGTGAAACTCGGTCTCTACTAAAAATACAAAAATTAGCCAGGTACGGTAGCTCAAGCCTTTAGTCCCAGCTATTCAGGAGGCTGAAACAGGATAATCCCTTGAACCTGGGAGGCTGGGAGGCGGAGGTTGCAGTGAGCCGAGATCGCGCCACTGCACTCCAGCCTGGGCGACAGAGCAAGACTCCATCTAAACAAACAAACAAACAAAAACACGAACAAAAAACTAACAATATATAGTGACATAGGAAAATGTTCACAATATACTGTTAAATGAAAAAAGAACATCTAGTACAATTTTCTAGAGCAAAGCAAAACAAAAGGAAAGGCCATTCAGCTTTGTTCCAGTGGATTTTCCACGGTGGCTGAGCTCATAGGATGGTTTTCCCCACCTTCTATGTTCTGCTGTTTTTAAATTTTCTGTAGTGCAAACACACTTTTTATTTATTTATTTACAGACAGGGTCTTGCTCTGTTTCCCAGGCTGTAGTTCAGTGGTGCGATCATAGCTTACTGCAGCCTTGAACTCCTGTGCTCAAGAAATCCTCCTGCTTCAGCCTCCCAAGTAGCCAGGACTACAGGTGCATGTCACCACGCCGGCTAAACTTTTTTATTCTTTATAGAGATGGGGTTTTGCTATGTTGCCCAGCTGCTTCTTCTTTAAGAATGCTTTCAAGATTATTATTAAAAAGAAAATTCAGGCAGGGTGCGGCGGCTCACGCCTGTAATCCCAGCACTTTGGGAGACCAATGTGGATAGATCACTTGAGGTCAGGAGTTTGAGACCAGTCTGGCCAACATGGTGACACCCTGCCTCTACTAAAAATACAAAAATTAGCTGGGCATGGCAGCGGGTACCTGTAATCCCAGCTACTCGGGAGGCTGAGGCAGGAGAATCGCTTGAACCCGGGGGGGTGGAGGTTGCAGTGAGCTGAGATCGTGCCATTGCACTCCAGCCTGGGCAACAAGAGTGAACCTCTGTCTCCAGAAAAAAAAAAAAAAAAAAAAAAAAAGGAAATCCCCACCACCCCAATTTTAGACTACAAAAACTCTACACCCAACAAGAACTGAAGTAAGTCCTGAAGTTCAGCTAGCCAGTTAACCTTCCGCCTAGGAGAATGAAGGCCAGGGGCTCCAGGGAATACGAACAAAAGTCAAACACACCTAGCAACATCAGAAACATGCCAGTAGGGCCCATGAGCACCAGATGAGTCATCGCCAGGCAAGAAAAGGCTGGCAGGCATGCCAAGCCCTGCCCTAGAGGCCATGAGAAGGCAGAGGCGGGTAGGGGAAGGAACCCCACGTTGTCAGAGTGGGAAGAGGATGGGCAATCCACTGGGGAAGTGGCCTGCCCAAGCATAAGGACATCAGGAAGTGGTCGCTGGGAAACACCTCCAAGGAGAGGCTAGGGGCAGGGCAGGGCAGGAGAGGCTAGGGGCAGGGAAGGGCAGGAGAGGCTAGGGGCAGGGCAGGGCAGGAGAGGCTAGGGGCAGGGCAGGGCAGGGCAGGGCAGGAGAGGCTAGGGGCAGGGCAGGGCAGGAGAGGCTAGGGGCGGGGCGGGGCAGGGCAGGGCCGGGCCGGGAAGGGTCTCTGGAGTTTGACAGATTTGAGTTCCTAAGTTTCATTTCCATTGTACCACTTAGCTGTGTCTTTGGCTGAGTTATTTTAAATCTCTAGGCCAACTGCTGTATATGTGGATGGGAATAAAAATGCCTAACATCCTAGACTGGTTGTGAGGAAGACATGAGACCATGTACTTGAGCACGTAGAACAAGACAGGCACTCATTGGAAACCATTATTACTAAGACACTTTGACAGATTTACCAGAAAATTAGCAAATAGGTTTATGTTAAATCAGACACCATTTTATGCTAAATTCTAATATAGTCAAGCGAATCAGTTACCAAGCTGTAAAAGGAAGACATAAGAAATAAAGCTCAGGCCAGGCGTGAGCTTGTAATCCCAGCACTTTGGGAGGCTGAGGCGGGCAGATCATGAGTAGAAACCCTGTCTCTACTGAAAATACAAAAAAATTAGCTGGGTGTGGTGGTGGGTGCCTGTAGTCTCAGCTACTCAGGAGGCTGAGGCAGGAGAATGGCGTGAACCCAGGAGGTGGAGCTTGCAGTGAGCCGAGATCGCACCACTGCACTCCAGCCTGGGCAACACAGTGAGATTCCATCTGAAAAAAAAGAAATAAAGCTTAAACTTGAAGGATTTCTATTCCCTTTTATTCCTCCCAAATTGGGAAGAGTATGTAATTATCAACATTAATAGTGAGATCCAACAATGCAGATAAACCCCATCTTTCTACAGAAAGAAAACACTTTCTACACGTTAATGTCATGTCCAAAATTGACAGAGACAGGCCTAGAAGTCAGGCCACCAGTTTCCAGGTCCTTCTCCCATACCCTTCCCTCATCCACTTGCTTTTTTGAGATGGAATCTTGCCCTGTCCCCTAGGCTGGAGTTCAGTGGCACAATCTCAGCTCACTGCAGCCTCTGCCTCCTGGGTTCAAGCAAATCTCCTGCCTCAGCCTCCCAAGTAGCTGGGACTATGGGTGCGCACCACTACACCCGGCTAATTTTTTAAGCTTTTCTTTAGTAGAGATGGGATTTTGCCATGTTGGCCAGTCTGGTCTGGTCTGGAACTCCTGGCCTCAAGTGATCCGCCCGCCTTGGCCTCCCAAAGTGCTGGCGTTACAGGTGTGAGCCACCGCGCCCAGCCCCCTCATCCACTTTGCTCCATCCCTGCTACACATCCTCCTGGCCTCTGCTGACACTGCCCTCCAGGGCAGGGGAACCACCATGGCTCAAGGCTGCCTAGACTCTGACACAAACAACTGCCTACCTGGCTCTTGGGCCTATAGAGACCCCATTCCTCCTTTCCACACCTTCCCCTAGGGCTCCATGCTGCTTGTGGAGCCTCACAGCCAGGACCTATAATAATAGCCTGTTTGCAGAGGAGTCAGATACCTTTCCTAGGCCAGCCCTGACACCAAGATCCCCACAGAAAAAAGCATCGTCTCCCCGCAACCTCCTTGCCACTTCCCCTAATTACGCCTGGTTCTATTCCTTATTTTCTCCTCTTATTTTTTTTTCTATCATCCATCCATGGTGGCCTGGAACACTGCAAGAGAGTAAATTCAAAAACAGAATAAAACTACGCTTTTGTTCAAGCACAGAAAACAAAACTTAAAGTCAGCAAACCTGGGTTCAGGCCCCAGCAGTGCCACCCATGAGCTGTGCTCCTTGAACTTAAAGTCAGCAAACCTGAGTTCAGGCCTAGCAGAGCCACCGATGAGCTGTGCTCCTTGTGCAGCTGCTCATCCCTTTTCAGTTCTAAGTTCCTTGTCTGCAAAATGATCAAACTGTCTCATGATGTCACTGTGATGAGTGAGTAGATTCAAGTATGAGGTACTAGCAGAGAATGATGTGTGATAAACAACAACTGCCTTCCCTTCCCTTCTTCATGTTCCCTGGCTTGCTAGAAGGAAGGCTAGGAGACCCAAAACAGGGAAAGTCAACCCCCACTCCAGCTTCTGGTTGGAGTCTCACACTCACAGACACAGACACCTACAGACCACAAGTAAACACCAAGAACTCACCTGCTTTCCTGATCCCACCACGAAAACTCCCCCAAGGATGAAGCCTTCTCCTTCCAGGTTTCCAGAGAAGCCTCCGTTCCAGGCTCGGAAGAAGTTGTACCACACTCCCAGACGGATAAATCCCATAAACATCATCTTCCGCCTTTGTGGACCATAGAACTTTTTCTATGGAGTGAGAAAGACAGATCCCATATGAGTACTCTACATGCCTGCCTTCCTCAAGGAGGAAACGCTCCTGACGGGGCATTGGTTCTCAGGCAAAGACTCAAAAGGCTGCTGGTTCCAGTCTTCTCTCCCACCCAACACACACACACTGCCCACATTCAGGTCCACTCTTTTTTTTTTTTTTTTTTTGAGATGGAGTCTTGCTCTGTCAGTCAGGCTAGAGTACAACGGCGCGATCTCAGCTGACTACAATCTCCACCTCCTAGGTTCAAGCAATTCTCTGGCCTCAGCCTCCCAAGTAGCTAGGATTACAAGTGCCTGCCACCATGCCTGGCTAATTTTTGAATTTTTAGTAGAGACAGGTTTCACCACGTTGGCCAAGCTGGTCTTGAACTCCTGACCACAAATGATCTGCCCACCTCGGCCTCCCAAAGTGCTGAGATTACAGGCATGAGCCACCATGCCCAGCCAATCCAGGTCCACTCTCAACTGCCAAGAAAACAGAACCCTGCTGGGTCCAGTTTCAGACCTCAAGGTAGGCCTGACCTAGGGTGACATCCGTAGCTTTCAATTCTGACTCTACCTTCTCACTAGTCTTCCACCTGACAGGATGGTAACAGTGCTACCTTCTGCAGAGGTGGGAGCAGAAGAGAAAGAAATAAATGAATTAAGGGACAGGGTGTGGGGCTTTGTACTAGGCCCCCAACAGTGGAGGAACCTGTTGGAGTTTCAGCTATTTCCTACTCTCCCAGTTCACATGGCAGGAAAGACTTAAGTAATACAGATGCTCCTCAACTTACAATGGGATTATGTCCCTACAAACCCATCATAAGTTGAAATATCTTATATTGAAATGCATTTAATACACCTAACCTCATAGCTTAGCCTACACTACCTTAAACATGCTCAGAACACTCTTATTAACCTACAGTTGAATAAAATCATGTAACACAATCCTATTTTAAAATAAAGTGTTGAATAACTTATGTAGTCTATTGAATATTGAATGTGAAAAACAGAATGGCTGTATGGGTTCTTGAAGAAATGTAGAAACTAAATGCTTATCACTTCTGCACCATCACAAAGCTGAAAGATCGTTAAGTCAAACCACCAGATGGTCAGGGACTGTCTGTAACTGAGAGGACAGCTTTAAAATGTCTGATCATGCTCTGCTCAGGGGGCTGAAAAAGGCCTTGCAAGTTCAGGACAGCTGAAGGGAAGGCCAGCCTCCAGCTCCAGGCCAGACATACCTGGGCCACCTGACTATCACACAGCTGAGCACAATCCCCAGCAGTCTGTGTCTAAAAGCCTCCCATCACACACACCTTTTCATCCAGGAAGATTTCTCCTTTGAAATAAGGCTGGAAATCCTTCACTTCAGTCCTGATGTGCTCCTTTACCACTGCATAGAGGGGGACGCCCAGCTGGTCCAACATGCTTTTCAGGGAGGACAGATCCGCAGCTTCCTGTAGAAGACACAAGGGTTCAGGGACATCTGTCCCAGCTGGCTGTGGGCCTCCACATAGGGTGTCAGGTTCCCTCTGCAGCCCAGGCTCCTTGTCTTCTCCAGTGGAAAGCAGAGGCAAGGCTCCTGTTATGGCTGTCCTAACCACAGCTTGGGAGCAGCCATACCCAAACACATCCTCTCCTCCTGCCCACAATGCTTCTCTCCTACATCATCTCCCAGCCCCTTCCCTGCACTAGACCAAACTAACACAAGGGCCCAGCAGACACACGCTCCTCTAGCCATAACCTTCCTTCTCTCTTCAGCTCAACCCTACCCTCTGGAAAGGTATCCCCGTTCTAAAAAGATCTCCCTGGCTAGTCCACCCTGAAGTAAAGCCCTGCTTCTCTGTGCATATCCTATCTTCCCTGTTTGGTGACATTTTCTGTACTGAGTCTGCATGTTACCACTAAGTTGAGTGTTGTCTCTTACATTCCCAAATGTTTCTAATAGTTAGAAACTATGTCTTCCATTTCTTGGAACCCTCAGTGCCTAGAACATGGCTGGGTATAAAACAGGTGCTAAATACCAGGTGGAAAGATTTGAAGGGGGACAATGGGGAGAATGCAGCTGAGCTGAGATGCAGATACCCTTGACTCTCAGGAACTGTGTGCTAGATGAATGAGGGAAACTGCATGAGTCATGGTAAAGCTTCAACATTAAGAACTCAATCCTTTTTTCACATTTGGTGTCAGAATTAAAGAATGAGCAAAAATCCTTTTAAATGCAGTCTACTCATCTCCAATACAAATATGCTGTTGTATGGTTGCAACTACATTTAATTTTTCATTTATTTTCTAGAGTAAGAAAAAAAACAACTAATGAGGCAGAATTGATTACAATACATTTATCAAGAGTTTTACTGACTGGCAAATTTTGCCCTAGAGCAGAGGACTACAGTGTTTGATATAATCAAAAACCACCTTTTTGTGATATGAAAGGTCTTTTATTTTTGAGATGGAGTCTTGCTCTGTCGCCCACGCTACTCGCCCATGCTGGAGTGTAGTGGCACAATCTCAGCTCAATGCAACCTACACCTCCTGGGTTCAAGTGATTCTCACGCCTCAGCCTCCTAAGTAACTGGGATTACAGGGGCGCACCACCACACCTGGCTAATTTTTTGTATTTTTAGCAGAGATGGGCCATGTTGGCCAGGCTGGTCTTGAACTCCTGACCTCAAGTGATCCACCTGCCTCGGCCTCCCAAAGTGCTGGGAGTACAGGTGTGAGCCACTGCACCTGGCCTTTTTTTTTTTTGAGTCTTGCCCTGTTGCCCAACTACAGTGGCACAATCATAGCTCATTGTAGCCCTGAACTCCTGGGCTCAAGCAATCTTCCTCCCTCGGCCTCCTGAAAAGCTGGGACTACAAGTGCACACCAACATGCCTGGCTAATTTTTTTTTTTTTTTTTTTTTTTTTTTTTGTAGAGACAGGGTCTCGCTATGTTGCCTAGGGTGGTCTCAAATTCCTGGGCTCAAGTGATCTTCTCACCTCAGCCTCCCAAAGTGCTGGGATTATAGGCATGAGCCACTGCACCTGGCTGAGATGAAAGGTCTTACTCACTTTTCCTGGCTCTTTACTCCTGGTGTGGCACTATACAAAGCCATGACGTGGAAACTGAGTCACATACCTCCTAGTTGGGCCACTCAAAATAACTCAGATTGCCATCCACCCATCTTTTTGGAAACGTAAGTTTCCACTAAATGTTCTATGTGGGCACAGACCAGTACAGAGGGAAACAGGTTATAATTAGGGAGAGCTGTTGCTCTTGGAACCTTCTGGATTTTAATGGCCCCGAGAAATCAAGTCAAAACAGGCTTCCATGCTGTTGCTGACTTGCCAGCCATTGCTGACCTAAAAATAGAGGAAGGGGCCATAAACCAATATACATAGGTGGCCTCTAACAGCTGGAAAAGGCAAAAGAAATGGATTCTCCCCTATAGTCTTCAGAAGGAATGCAACCAGATTCCGCTTTGGAATTCTGACCTCTAGAACTACAAGATAAATCTGTGCTGGTTAAAGCCATTGAGTTTGAGGTAATTTGTTACAGCAACAGAAAATTAATACATCTCCCCGATCCGGGTGGCTTTGTTACAACCTCTGTAACTGTTTCCTCCTCTGTAATGAGAATAATAAAATGAGAGTAAAACAAGCTGTATTTCCAAGGGCTATGGTGAGGACCCACTGAGATAGCAGGCACACAGTGCCCTGGGGGTAGGGTACTGCAGGCATCACATGCATCCAGCAGTGCAAGTGGATTCTTCACCAGCCCAGCCACACAAGCATGGAGAGATCAGCAAGGCTGAAAGGTGGTGTCTCAGGGTCAGGGAGGGGAACCAGGAGAATGAGGATGACAATTTGGACAGGGCCACAGCCACTGCTTGAGATGCAAAGTTGTCTCAAGAGCAGGAATACTGTCATTCCCAGTTTTCTCCCAGGCAGGGCAGTAATTTCAGAATCTGGGTCTTCTGCCACTGACTGGCTGTGTGACCACAAACAGACCACTAACCACTCTGGTCCTCAGTTTGCCTACCTATAAAGGGACAAGGCTAGATCCAAGTAGTGGCAATGTTCCTTCTCACACTAGCATTTTGTGTTTCAACAATCACAGTTCCTTCCTTCCACTGATAAGCTCCATCACCTACAAATAGATGATGTCTTCCCTTCGAGGGGCCAACCTGGAGACCACCCAGTCAGTGAGCTCCAACTTTCAACAAACTCTCATGCCAAATGCACTACTGGCATGACTGAAATCCCACTGAGCTACAGATTCAATGCTGAGAGCACACAGCAAGGAGGCAGAGCTAACATGTGAGAATGTGGCTCTCAGCTGTCCACGATGGACTCTAAGAGCTCCCCAAGGAAAGAGAGACAGGCAGGTCTGCTCTAATAGGTAACCTTGAAGTGTTTCCTCCGACACTGCAGCTTCATCACAGGGAGGGACTGACCACACCCGAATCAGAAGCAATCCAGGCACATCATATATCTGTGCTGAGCATCAGAAGCATGGAATTGGACCTGGTCACTGCCCCTGATTAAATTGGAATATGGTCCAGGACTCAGAAGGTACAGCACAGGGTGAAAGGCCTGGGAGTACTAAGGGAAACTGAGATGTGTTGCTAACCCCAGTAGGAGAGGGTGAGTTGTTTAAAAAAAAAAAAAAAAGAGCACAAATCAAAGAAATACCTAGAGCAAATAACAGAACAGAACATGTGGGTAAAAGGCTAAAGCTGGCTTACCGACCCTTGGTTCTGGCCGGAAAACAATGGCCCCTACTTGCCAGGATCCCTTTCTCTGAATAGATCCTCATCTGCACTCACCTCTCGACAGAGGAAACAGCCTGGCCTCCGCACGGCCATAATCACAGCTCCATTTTTTTCCCATAGCTCCTTTGCTTTGAAAGTCCTTGGTTCTAAGAGAGGAAAAAAAGAAATTCGATATCTCCTCCCAGCCCAGCCCCAATCACTAAGCAGCTCATGAACCACACTAAGTCCAGCCAAGGTCAGAGACCCGGCCTAGTAGAGGACCTGGACAGGCATTTCACACGTGGGAAAAGACACACAGGAAACACAGACAGACAGAATACACACCTTCCTGAAGAAAGTTAACCAAGCTTAAGAATCCTGTTATATACCCGGTAGGTCCCTCCCACCATGAAAATCTTTTTTCTAACCTGAACATTCAGAAGTGGGACATTTCTGGAAAAATGGCCATTTTGTCTATTGCTGATGTCATCAGATATTGTATAATAATCCTTCAGAACAGAAACATGGCCCAAACTGAAAAAGTCTCAAATTTTTAACCTAAATATGTTACCTGCAATATTATTAACGAAGGAGAGGATAGAAGATGCCTAGGAATAAAATGCTTTGGGGTAGTACAGTACTGTAGTTCAACAAGCCCAGCTCTAAGGTCCAACTGAATCTGAATCTAGCTGTGTAACTCTGGGCAAGTTATTTTTGCTCTTTGAACCTCAGCTTCCTCATTTGTAAAATGCAAATATCTAGTAGCTCCACTTTGGGCCACAGGGCATATTGAAAGATGAATATAAAAGTGCTCACCACAATGTCTGGTAATATAGAGTTGGTGAGGGCTCAATAAATATGAGCCCTTAATTATTTTAGTATTTCCCAGAGGGATCCATGTTCCCGTAGATGTTATGTGGAAAAAAAAAAAATGGGGTCAGGTGGGTGAGAGGGTGGGGAGAAGAGTCTGTAATCAAATAAGATTGGGAAACCCTGGGTTGAACAAAGCTTAACAGGTCTCTCTCTCTCCTAGTATCTTACTAAGGTGACCTACTATAAACCTGCACAATCTCCTGCCTTCCTTTCGCAAGCTTCCTTACTTACTAAACAGATGACGATGACTTCCACCTGGGGGGCTAACATGGTGACCACGCCATCAATGAGACCTTCACCACTCCAACTCTCTTGCCACACCACTGGCATGACTGAAATCCCACCAAGCTACAGCTCTAACACTGAGAGCACACAGCAAGGAGGCAGAGCTAACACATTTGGGTGTGTGGCTCTAAGCTGTCCACAATGGATTCTAGCAGTCCCCCAGAAGAGGGAGATAGGCAGGTCTGCTCTAACGGGTGACCTTGAAGTGATTCCTCAGACACCACAGCTTCTTCACAGGGAGGGGCTGGCCATGCCTGAATCAGCAGCAATCCAGACACCTCATTCTAATAAGCATATGTCTGTGCTGAGCATCAGGAGCATGGAATTGGATAAAAGGTGTCTCCCATACTTGTTCACTCAGGAACTCCTTTTAGTTTGACGATCCCACAAGCCTGGAATTCCTCAGAATACACTCTGGAAGCACTGGTTTAGTAAAAGATTGTAATTATTACTAAATATTATGGAGCAATTTATCATTATAATTACAGAGACAACAACAGAGAATGAGAAATGCTTTTGATAAGAAAAGCTAAAATGTAAAACAGCACCTAAGCCAAGCACAACTACGTAATATGTACACATGGAAAGGAATATGCCAAAATCAAAATTACTGTGTTAGGGTAACAGAATTATTCCTAGTTTAAAAATTGTTATTAAATTTTTCCTAATGTTGTTATATTATCTTTTCAATTAAAAAAAGGAGAGAGTTTAGAAAGAAAGCAGTAAGCCTGTATCCCAGCTCCTTGGAAAAGTACTGAGACCTGAAGGGTCACCACTTACCCTTCTCCAGTGTTTTCAGGTCTATATCCTCCAGGTACTCCAGGGCCGCTTTCTGGGGCTTGGACAGAAACACGTCTGTGTTGGCAAGCAGCAATGCCAAGGCAGCAGCCCCCAGGGCTCCTGCACCAATGGACCACATCCCCATGGTGAAGAAACTTGGGTCCTGGAGGAAAGACATTTCTGGAGATTGAGAAGAAGGAAGAAGGCGTTACTGCTCCCACAGGGTAGCTGGAATTTCATCTTCCAGGCAAGGCTCTGGCAGGACAGCCAACCAGGAGGTCAGGACAGGGGAAGGGAGCAGCAGTGTCACAGGCGAGACTGGACAAGGGCTGCTAAGCACCTGCTGCCACCAGAACTTGGGGATGCAGCACACACATGGAGGTTCCTGCACCGTGGAGCTCACCAGGGCATCAGGAGTGATGACAGAGAAAGGACAGCCTTCTCAAATGGTTCTCTTGCTGCTCTCTCTTCTCATGCCCCAAGTTGCAGCCCCTAGCTCTGTGGAGCTGTGCCGAGCTATGTCCCCTGTAGGCAGACTACTTCCTCATTCCCCTCCTCATCAATGCCTGATTCTCCCTCACAATCCAGGTGGCTCAGGATCATGTCCCTGGGTAGGGGCAGCTTTCTCTTCTGTGATCAGAGGATACTTAGAACACCAACCGCACTGTTTTGTTCCCCTATCTTCTTTCCTCTTTAGTTTGACGACCCTCCAAAAACAGGGACCATATCCTACTCATCAAGCCCCCAGCCAGTGCCCAGCAGGGCCTCATTCATTATAGGCAGGCAGTAATTTCTCCCAATTGAGAAGAGCTTTATTTCTCCCTTATATAAAAACAAAATATGCTTATAGTAAAAAACAAAACAGAGAATACATGAAACCATAGTCGATAAGAAAGCAAATACTCTCTGAAGCTACCACCTACTGATGGCCACTGTTAAACACTGGTGTTTAGTAATCTGACTTTTTTCTCCTGTGAACAGAACTACACAGATGTCTGCCAAACAAATGCAGGTGTTATATCAGAAAGAGGAGGTCCTGGCAGGGCGCGGTGGCTCATGCCTGTAATCCCAGCACTTTGGGAGGCCGAGGTGGGCGGATCACCTGAGGTCGGGAGTTCGAGACCAGCCTGACTAACATGAAGAAACCTCATCTCTACTAAAAATACAAAATTAGCCGGGCGTGGTGGTGCGTGCCTGTAATCCCAGCTTCTCGGGGGTGCTGAGGCAGGAGAATCGCTTGAACCTGGGAGGCGGAGGTTGCGGTGAGCCGAGATCGTGCCATTGCACTTCAGCCTGGGCAACAAGAGTGAAACTCCGTCTCAAAAAAAAAAAAGAAAAAAAAAAAAAGAAAGAGGAAGTCCTGGCAGGGCACGGTGGGTCATGCCTGTAATCCCAGCACTTTGGGAGGCCGAGGCAGGTGAATCACGAGGTCAAGAGATGGAGACCATCCTGGCCAACACAGTGAAACCCTGTCTCTACTAAAAATACAAAAATTAGCTGGGCATGGTGGCGCATGCCTATAATCCCAGCTATTTGGGAGGCTGAGGGAGGAGAATCGCCTGAACCCGGGAGGCGGAGGTTGCAGTGAGCTGAGATTGTGCCACTGCATTCCAGTCTGGTCATAGAGCAAGACTCAGTCTCAAAAAAAAAGAAAGAAAAGAAAAGAAAGAGGAGGTCCTATGGCATCTGCAGAGGAGGCTGGGCAAAAGACAGCTGCATAAGATAAAGGTCTCTGCAACTGAAATGGAGCTCCAGGCGGGTTCTGTCAGAATTCAGCCTTGTTCCTGGCTTCTTCTGCCAGCTAGGAAGACTTGTGCCTGTGGGTGGGAGCTCCTGGAAGCAGCCCACAAAGTACCCCCACCTCCAGCCTTCCTTCTCCCAACAACCACTTACAATATCTATCTTTCCATTTGGTCCTCACGCCATCCTAAGCTCTGGCATACACTGGTGCCTTCTTCCCTAAGTACCAGCCTGCTTCTGTGTGCTTAGATCACCGGGAATAGGCCTGGGAGTGGGTGTGGTAATTGTGTGGCCCACCTCACCCCAGCCCATCGAACCTCTGACTCAAGTCTCCCTTGCAGGACTTGGCCGGGAGAGGATGTCTCTAAAGGATCAGGAAAGGCCCTGGAAATCCAAATGTCACTGCCAAGGGTGGGGGCTGTGAGGGGTGCACTGCATGAGGTGGGGGTGGGAGTGAGTTGGTGGTGACTTTGGGAAGGAAAGGGTAGGCCAGACTAGCATTGAAGCCACATGGAAATTCAGATTTAAGAAACAAAAGAGGCAGCCATAAAAAAAGAACGAAATCATGTCCTTTGCAGCAACATGGAGCTGGAGACCATCATCCTAAGTGAACTAACCCAGAAACAGAAAATCAAATACCACGTGTTCTCATTTGCAAGTGGGAGCTAATCAATAGTATACATGGACATGAAGACAGAAATAACAGACACTGGGGACAGCTGAAGAGGGGAGGGTGGGGTGAAAATTACCTATCAGGTATAAGGGTCACTATTGGATAACGGGTACACTAAAAGCCCAGTCTCCATCACTACACAATATACCCATGTAACAAATATGCATATGTACCCCATGAATCTAAAATAATTAAAAAAAAAAAAAAGGAATAAGAGAGAACCTTGGTTGAGTGCGGTGGCTCCTGCCTGTAATCCTAGCATTTTGGGAGGCTGAGGCAAGAGGGTTGCTTGAGCCCAGGAGTTTGAAACAAGCCTGGACAACATGGGAGGACCCTGTCTATAAAAAATTAGCTGGGCATGGTGGCACACGCCTGTGGTCTCAGCTATTTGGGAGGCTGAGGTGGTAGGATCACTATAGCCCAGAACTCCAGCCTAGGTGACAGAGCAAGACCTTGTCTTTAAAAAAAAAAAAACAAAAAAAAAAAGATGAAGAAGAAGAAAAGAAGTTCCAGGTAACGGGGGTAACCAAACAAAAAACAACATCTAAGAAAGAGGAATTTGGCATCTATATACTTGGGAAGCGGAAAAAGAAGGGGAAAATCAGTGCCTGTGTGTGTTGGGGAAGGGGGTGCTGCTATGGTTGTCTTGAAATGCCTAACCTTGTTTTTACTCTAACTCGCTACTTTGAATTTTATCCTGCTTGTCTCTTTAATCACCTAGCCTTGCTTCTCCTGTAAATAAGACTCTTTCTAGCTGGGAAAGCCAGACAAACTCCAATTGACCCCTTAATTTACAAGACACTAAGGGCTCCTTACCCAACCCCCTTCCGCAAGGAGTTGACCTGTGTAAGCAGATCCTCAGCGTTTCAAAGGAGCCCAATTAACTGATAAGGTACTAGCACCAACAATGTATGAAGTTCCCAGGATTTTTCTTAAAGAGATAACAACATAAAGCCTTGAGTTCGGGTCCGACATACTCCCTATATCTAATTATAATGAAAGATTTAGAGCCTTGCACCTGGTACCGTTGCTCTTTTTGTAACCATTTGTCTTTTAAATTGTTTATCTCTCTGTAACCATTTTGCTTCTTTTGATTCTTGCATGTTTTTACTTCTGTAGAATTATTGCATCTGAGTCCCCCTCCCCTTCCTAAACCAGGTATAAAAGTTAATCAAGCCCTTTCCTCGGGGCCGAGAGAATTTTGAGCGTTAGCCGTCTCTTTGGCCACCCGCTTAATAAAGGACTCTTAATTCGTCTCAAAGTGTGGCGTTCTCACTAACTCGCTTGGGTACAACAGTCTGACATGAGGGACCTGTGCTGAGAAAGAAGAGTTTCTTACTACCCACTATTCAAAATGTAACCAATAAATGGCACCATCTAGAAACGAAGAATCTCAACCCCCACCTTAGAACTAAGGAATCTTATACTGCCTTTTAGTCAGACTGGCAGGCAATTCATAAGCACGTTAAAGTTTGAGAAGCATTGTGTTAGAGCAAAGAATTCAGGACTTCGTGCTTGGTTGGCCATCAGCCACCAGAATAAAGTAAAGTCACGAGGGCGGTCTGGGCTTGGAGAGCTGGGCCCCCCGCCAAGACCCTGAGAACAGAACATTACAGACGTGCACACATCTCTACCCCTCTGCCTGGAATATCCTATTTCATTCTGTGCTTCACAACTCAGAGGCCTCTTTAAGAAGGCTTCCCTGATGTTCTGCCAGCCCCCTACTTCCAGCCTCCCACTTCTACCCCCAAGAGGTGTTGATTCACCCCCTCCTCAGTTCTGTGCCCAAACATCACCCACATTTCTTCTGATGTGCTTGACACACTGGTTTGGACCTGTCAGATTTCTCTCCTTTGGTGACATTCTGCAGTTTATCTCTGAATCTCTCATACCTAGCACAGCGCACCTCTGGTACAAAGCAGGCTCACCACAAGTGCATGCTGAAATGAATTCAACAGAATTGAATTACAGAGACAATGGCTTATGGACAACTAAAGTTCTTGGGACAAACAGGAAAGAACCTGCCACAGGCCTGCTTCCAATTCTTTAATTTGACAAAGTTACACATTACTGGATGACAGTTCACAGAACAATTAGGAGGAAAACCACAGCTCTTATCTGCTTGCTGTAAACAAGAGATTTCCCAGAGCCTGGAACAACTTCTGTACCTTTATGCACTTCCAAAATGTTCCTGGATTTCTGACTTGTGTTATGACTCAGGAGCACATAGAATGGTCTCTGATCACAGATTTGATGGGCATTTCTGCGTCAGTATACAAAGACCAGTTTACATCTATCCCACAAATGGACTCTGACTCCTAGGACACATCAGTGCATTCACAAAGTCCAGGGCCCCTCACAGTCAGCTCCACATTCTTCCAACACACCCCTGCCACACTCAAACAGCCTCCACCTTCCCACTGTCCAGTGATGGGCGTTTGGCATGTTTGCTCCTAGGCACAAGAGAATTCAACTCAACTAGACTCAACATTTATTTCCAAACATTTATTCAGTACTGACCTGTTCAATAAATGGCGATTTGGGAGGACATAAAATGATACACAATCCTCAAGAAAATATGGACCTGGTACACAAATAACAAAAAAATATCAAGTGGGAAGGTGAGGCAGCTTGGGCAATGTATGGGCATGAGGCTATGGTGGTGCAGGAATAACAGCCAGTCTGGGTAGCCACAGAAGCACCCAGAAGGAAGTGGCTTTGGAGCCGGTGTAGGACACAGGAGGCAGCATGGACAGGCTAGGCTGGGATGGGGCCAGCTAAGCTGGGAGACAGCAGGCTGACTGGGGCAGGTGTCAGTGCTGAAGGAACCCTGAGAACTCAAACCTCTATGTTCCAAAGACCCCCATCTCCATACCTCAAGTTCAAGGGCTGGGTACAAGATCCAGACCTCAAAACCCCCATAAGTGCTGTCTTCTGACCTCCCACTGTGATCCTGAAAGTGTGAGCAGAGATTCAGCCCTCTGGGGCAGTGGACCCCATCCTCAGGCACTGCAGCACCATGCTGAGAGTGTTATCAGGACCAGTGGTGAGCATCAGGCCTCTCCATGGACAGACCGCACCCAGTGGGCCTCTAGCAGCCCACTCTTGTGCCAGAGAGAAGCACAGAAAATTCACTTCCAGGAATACCTGGAGAGCACACAGGCCTAGCCTCTTATCCAAGTCCCCTGGGCTACAAAGCAACTCCCATCCTGGCATGTCTTGAAGCACGTACTACTGTGACTTGCTGCACAGTGAGCAGACCCTGAATTCTGAAATCACAATTTTTCCTACACACAAAAAAGGACAATCAAAGGAATTTTAATTTCTAAACAGAAATGATGCATTTTCACATGGGTCTCTAAGATTGCAGAGGTATGGAGGCCAGCAATCCTTCGTACCTCTGCAGCCAGTCGTCTTAGAAGCTGTCAGTAATGGCCTAATTTCATTCACTCAACAGTCTTGTGATGCAAAGATTATCCTGTTTAGCAGCTAACACTGAGGTTCAGAGTTCAGTAACTTCCCTGTGTCACAGAGCCAGCAGGCAGCAGTACTACAACCTGGACCCAAGTCAACAGGAATAGGACTCCAAAGCCTGAAAGACTACCTTTCCTCGCCACACATTCAGAAGTGGGTTTACATCTGCTGTAATTGTTGATTAACAAAGAAAAGAAGAAAGAAGTCGGTCCTGGAGATCCAGGAGTATGATTCCCTCTGTCTTAAAGAGAATGTGTTTTTAATCACCTTGTTTTTTCAGTCATCGTGTACAGTCAAACCATGTTTACTCTAAAGGAAATTTACCATACACCAGATGTTCCTTCTCTTTCCTCCCCCTTTCTATCCCCCCTTCCATTAAGGAAAGGGTCAGTTTCTCTGAAACAGAATAGTAGGGTTGTTTACAGAAGAGCCAGCCCCCACCTGACACAGCTATAGCATTCAGTTCCCCACTGCTGGGCTTATCTGATCCACCCTCTCCCACAGAAGGTGAAGTAGGATAAAGCCACAAACAAACAACAGCTGTGGCAGCTCAGAGTGGCAGCTCTGGTCTGAACATGGGTGCAAGAGGACGAGACCCAGTCGGGCTCCCTAGGCTAAGCTGAATCAATTCCTCCCCAGGCCCCATTTTTCTCAACTCCATGAGGAAGTTCCTAATGATCCCCAGTGACATCCTATGAGTCTAACAAAAACAGGTCACTTTGGAGTCAGAACATTCTAGGCTCCTCAACACTGCCCCCACCGCCCCAAATTCAGTTTCCAGCTTCGAGACCCTGTCTCTTTCCTATACAAGGCAACTCCCTTCCTCAAACGGTCTCTTACCCCCAACCTCAGACGCTTCAAACTTGGGAACAAGGCACTCACCATACACAGCGTCCACACCTCTGCTTCTCTTGACAAAGAAGTATATCCAGGGGTGAGCAGACGGGCCTGGGCAGGCGGCAAGGGGAGGGCTGGAGGCGGGACTAGGTCCCTAGGCTCAGTCACTCCATAGGCAGGACCAGGCCACCCAGAAACCCTGGGGCTCCTTCAGCTGCCAACAGTCAGTCTCCAGAAAACATCTAAATGGAAAGCTGCCAAGGCCCCCTAGCCCTTCAAAAAGTTGAGCAAAGCTTTGAGTCATTTGCAGTCATGCAGATTATAACATTTCCCAAGTGCCACCAGACTCCTCTGCTATCCGGTGCAGACTAAAGAAGCAAAGCTCGTAACACAGCCCACATGTCATACTAGCGCAAATAAAAGAAGATGTCCTTTTCTCTGTGGCTCCTCGTGCAGCCTGCTCCCTTGCCCCATTCCTCACCCCAGGCCTGGAAAGTCAGCTGGCACCTCTGAGGCCCCTCATCTGCTGTCTATTCTTTACCTCCTTTTGCTTTCCCTTCCTTTTCTGCCACATCGGTGGCTTCCCTCAACCCACACTCCCTTCCTGGGTGACTTCCAGCACTTCTCCCACCACTTTGTTATTGACTTCCAAGTTCCTATTGCTGTTCTGACCCAAAGTTTCCACTTGGGGGTTTTGTAGGTGTCTTGGTTGTACCACATCCAAAACTAAAGTCGATTTCTCTGCTGGAGTTCCATGGCTCAGTAGATGGGGGGGCAGGGAGGGGGGACAGTGGGGGACAGGGGTTCACATTTTACTGTTCATTTGCCTTCACTGCCTACATCGACTCAGGAAGTTCTGTCCATCTTCTAAAATGTATCTGCTACCCATCCTCTTCTCGACCTCACTGCTGCTGCCCAAACCCAGGATCCTATAACTCTGTCCCTAGCCTATTTCAAGAACCACAGAATGAATCTGGCTTGGTTCTAGTCTGGTCCTCTATAGTTTATTTTCCAAGCCGTAGTCAGAGCGATCCCAGCACACCCCCACCTGATTACACCTTTCCCTTGTGTTCAGACTCTCACTAACAATAAACTCCTCAGCAAGCCAGCTGATGGGGCCCTCCACAGCTTGGCTTCAGCAAGTGTTGCTCATGTTGTTTCCTTTGCCCGGGATGCCCCCCTCTGACCCAGGCCAACCACGTAAATGCCTACTTATTCATAAGGCCCAGCACACATAACACTTCCTCTCCAAAGCCTTTCCTGAAAGCCCTGACAACTGACTGCTCACTGACCTCTTCTATAGCGTGCATGTGTGTGCGCACACACCCATAACCCTGCACAATGCACAAATGAATTGTGTAAATTTTAGTTATTTACATGTCTGTCTCCACAATATGTTGGCACAATGTGTTGTCGTCTTCATTCCTGCATCCCCAGCACTCAACACAGATCCTGGTAATTATCAGGCATTAAATGTTAATTAAATTATCTGAATTTTACTCTTAGAATTCCACAGTGAGGCAGACTTGGAACTTATAACTACTCAATTCCAATTTCAGTTCAGTATGAAAGGCAATTTTGGACAGGGCTGGCTTGATATTAAAGAAAACACTCTAGCTTGGGACTTAGGTAACCTTAGGCTGGGTCCTCGCTCTACTGCTCACTAGCAGGGCAATCTGACTTAAGGTATGAAGACACTCGGGGCCTGGATCTCATCATCTATACAGAGGAAGGAACTCAAAATTCTATGAGGTTGTCTTAGCTCTGACATCCAAAGACTCTAAAGTACCATGTGACTGCAACTACAGGGATCTGATGTCTAGAAAGCCATGGGAACCCCTGCCACCACTGTTCTTCTGCTGGGTGTGCACATTCACCCTGCCTCCTTTGCTGGGCCTAACTCCTGACTGTTCCAGGAGCTGCCTCTGGGCAGGAACTGATAAAGTCTTAATGAAACAAAGTATCAGCACTGGCTGAGTTAAATCATGTCTGAAACAAGTAGAGACAGCATCATATTCTAAACATCAAGGGTACACCTGCCCAGCCCAGCCCCACCCAGGGAATCGTCCCTCTTCAGAATGAGCTGGCCTGAGGCAGAGATAGGGGAGAAGCAAGAAAAGGTGCTGAGGGAGACAAAAAACTAAGAGTGCACATGGGCCTCCTTGCCTCAGGCCCTCAGTGAACAAGTCTTGAAAGGATGCTTCATCTTCCTTCTCTGGTCTCCTCTGTTTCCCTCTCCTTCCCTCAAAGCGCTGGTTCAGCTCATTTTACTGAGCAAATGAAGAAACTAAAGCTCAGAGAAGGAGCTGGCTAGTCCAAGGTCACATGGGCAGGGCAGGTTGTCAGTGGCTGCACTGGGACTCAGGTTTGGGTCTCCCAACTTCCAGTCCATGACTGTTTATCCTGCATCAGACACGCTAGGTCCTGGGCAGCCAGCCAAGGGCCAGTGGCCTCTAAGGCTGGAATAGCATGGCAGTCTGGGCTCAGGAAGTGGGGCCCTGCAGGTCTTGAAGCCTGTTCACTGGCCTCAGGCAAGCTAAGAGCAAGACTGCCCGTAAACAGGGCCTGGGAAATCTGCTGCCTGGAGAGAACATCATCAGCCTCTCCCAAGCCCAATCCTTGGTAAGCAGCTTATAATCTGAAGCCAAATGTCTTAAGGGTCTCATTGCCTAGTCTCCGCTGAGAAGCCATTCTGCACCTCTCTTCCCCACAATAACAAGACTCTGTCCATCCTTGTCTAGCATACTGATGATGCAGGCACACAGAGCCTTATGAGCAACAGATGCCCTTCCACCCACCCTTGTCTTCATATACCACAAAATCAGTCACTTGCAATGAGCTCTCACCTACCTGCCTCAGTCTCCAACTCTCAGCCCTGCTCCTTGGGGTGTGTATCTGCCTGGTTCTGGCCCAGTCCTACTCTCAAATGCCAGATTCAGAAACCTCTGAATAGATGCTGAAAGCAGCACCAGCCCCCACATTCCTCACTCTTGGGCGTATCTCAGGGTTTCCCAGTAGCTGATTATGTCCTCTTGTTTCCTCAAGCTGTAGGGCCCCCCACCCCTCAAAGAGCAAGCCATTCTAATCTCACTTGCACAGCCTCCTGTCTGGGCTCAGAACTCCGGCTTCATCAAGTTATATGGGTGTGGATAGGAAGGCAAGGCAATACCACAGAAGACACTGGGCTAAAAGCCAATAATCCTGGGTTTTCTCTCTTTGACTCTGAGAGTTATTTTATCCCTCTGAACCTCAGTGTCTTCTTAAAAACAAGGGCACTTTAAAGAGTTGTCATAAAGATTATATAAGAAGAGCAATTTTTAATGCGGTAACGCACTAGAAAACGGCAAAGCAGCATTATCTTTCTCTCTTTTGCAGGGCTCAGATTCACTCGTGCCCCTATAAAGACAGGATATCTGAAGCAGGACAGGCACAAAATAGTGAACTTCTGCAGCTGTGTCACTGCAGGCCTGCTTTCTGGTGAACGTTCTAGGTCTGGTGGGAACACTGGCTTGTCTCAGCCCCTCTGGCCTGCAGGCCCGCTCCATGCTATTCCTGTAGCAGCTAACACTGCCTCCTGCACTAGCAGTGCCAGAGAAGGCAAAGGACACTGCCCAGCTGTAATTTCCCTGTGCCAGAGGCCACTGAGCTCAAAGGTGAGGCTGGCTCTCTGCACAGAACCTCAGGATGGTTCTTGCCACACAAGCCACAGCAGAGAGACTTGGAGCTTCTGCTCAACATTTCACAAAGAAGCAAGAACCCAACTGGCAGGACAGCTGCCCTATTGCTTAGATAGGGACAGAGCCTGGGGCTTGAGCCCTAGAGTTCCAGTCCTATCCAAACTTTCTGAGCACCATTTAAATGACACGAGATGAGAAAATCATCAGAAATGTCTTTTGTACCCCTTCAGAAGTAATGCAGAAGGTCTCAACTAAATGACATGCTCTTATAAAAGACGGGGATATAGGAAAGGCCCACACCAAGAATAATATCTAACTTTAATTCTTGCAAGCTGTATAAACCTGGACAAGGAACTGTTTTGCATCAGTAAAATGGGAATGCTTCCTTAATTACCTTCTACAGAGTTGCAAGAATCAAAGGATTAAATGTATAGGAGGTGCCTTGTGAGGTACCTTACAAAAAGTGCAATAAATACGATGTATAATTCTTCATTTCTAGAGCAATGATTACCCTCAAAACGTTATTTGTACACAAAATGAAGAGTTTTCTGATGAATGAGTATGGTAACGAGTCGGGGTCTGCAGTGGAAATCCCAATCCTCATTCTCCAAAGCTGGGCCCGAGCAGGAGCATTCAAGACTATTCAAGCTGACTTTTTCACAATGCTTTTCAAAACAAATCTTGATTATTTTCTTTTTGAAAAACCACCTGCCAGGTTCAAAGGAAAATACATTAAAATAAAACAAACAAAAAAGCTGAGTTCTGGGTTGCTGGGCTGTGCAGACAGCATGATGTGGCAAGGAAAAGAGGCGCAGGAGCAGCTGGGAACCCCGGTCCGGCAGTGGACTCCCGGGTGTGCCTCCTTCCCACAGCCCTGGACCGGCTGGGCCTTGACTTCCCTTCCTTTGCCTCTAACCATCTCCACCTGCGCCTTCACCTCCCGCTCCAGCAACAACCCTGGGGGCAGATTGTTCATCTTTTCATTCCTAGACCTCAGCAGGGCTGTTAAGTTTACAACTGGGCTCTACCCAATTTAAAGTCAGGCGTTTGTGACTCTTGGGAAAGAGGGGGAACAGGTGCCTCCGAAACGCTGAACAACGCTAGAAACCGTGCCCTCTTAAAAGACACGACCCTAAGCGGGCACAGAGACGAGGACGAGGACTGCCAGGTCCGCACCTGGGGCTGGTCCAGCAGGGCGGCCCCCGGGCCCATGCTCCAGGGCAGGGCCCTCTCCTCTGTTCTTTGTCCCAACAATTCGCGAAGGTTGGCGCCACCGGCGTCACTCAAGGCTTGCGGGCGTGGACAGAGGGGGCCCTAGCCCGCCGCAGCAGCGCCGGGTCCCCGTCTCCGTTCTCCGACGTCTGGGCGCAGGGTTTTTCCATCGGCCGCCACGCAGGGTGGCGGAAGGGTCGTCGTCCTCGGAGGGAGCGCCAGCGCTGCGGCGGCTCCTAAGAAAGTTGGCGCGGGCCCGAGGGGCGCGCCTCACCAGCCCAGCACCCACCCTACCGGCCCTGCACTGCCTCAGTTTCCCCACCTACGCCGCGGCAGGCCCCGCCTACGGACATCACGTGCCTCGCGGAGCCCCGGCGCGCAGCACCTACCTCAAGTGCCTCCCTTCTGCCGGCCTTTTACCGCCCCGACGCCCGGGCGCTAAGGGGCCAAACCGCCCGGCCCGGAGGGTCCCAGGGGCGGGCCCCGCGCTTGCGCAGCCTCTAGCCTGTGCTGCATCGCGCGCTACCGCGCCACCGCCATGTGACCCGCCCCGCCCCCCGTGGGAGGAGCTCCGGGCCTGCCCCCGACTCGCCGACCTCCGGGCCGCGGTCTCCTAGCTCCGGTGGCGCTCGGGCGTGTGCCCCAGCGGTCCTTTTACGCACAGCGCTCGGTCGGTCCACTCCTCAAGTCCGCGAACCGAGGCCCCGACGCGTTCTTCAGGGCGCTGCCTAGGGCAAAAGAAGGCGCTGGACACCCCTAATGGAGCCTGGAAGCACCTGTCCTGCAGCCGAGGCTGGCCAACTTCCTTCCAATCTTCAGCCTGGTTTTGAATAGCTCTTTTGATAGGTTTTTTTTTTTTTTTTAACCTCCATGGGCAGGGGGAATCTAAAGGACCGACACATTCGATGAGCCCCTTCAAGCTGTATGTACAGATTCAGAATTTCCAACCTCAATCCTCCACCCACGTTCCCTTTCACTCCACAATGCCAGCTATGGGGCAGAGAACGGTGAGCCGCAGCCTTGCGGACTCCGGGCGACGCTGAGGCGGGTGTGTCACACACCGCTCATCCACTTACTCCTCCTGTTGGAAGTGCCCACTCTTTCATGAAAGTAGGAGGTTGTGTCCGGCGCGCTGGCTCACGCCTGTAATCTCAGGGCTTTGGGAGGATCGCTTGAGCCCAGGAGTTCAAGACCAGTCTGGGCACCATAGTAAGACTCCATCTCTACGTAAAAAACAAAAACTAGCCAGGCATAGTGGCGCGTGCCTGTATTTCCAGCTACTCTGGAGCTGAGGTGGGAGGATCGCTTGAACCCGGGAGGCGGAGGTTGCAGTGAGCCCAGATCGCGCCACTGCACTCCAGCCTGTCTTTAAAAAACAAAAAAAAGACCCTGTCTTAACAACAAAAAACAAAAAGTAGGAGGTTGGACTTTCAGAGACAGCAGAGCTGACTCACGATACATATTAGTGGTTGGCCGGGCTCGGTGTCTCATGCCTGTAATCCCAACACTTTGGGAAGCCAAGGCGGGCAGATCACTTGAGGGCAGGAGTTCGAGACCAGCCTGACCAACATGGCAAAACCTCGTCTCTACTAAAAATACAAAAATTAGCCGGGTGTGGTGGCGCGCACCCGTAGTCCCAGCTACTCAAGAGGCTGAGGCAGGAGAATAGCTTGAACCCCGGAGGTGGAGGTTGCAGTGAGCCGAGATGGTGCCACTACACTCCAGCCTGGGTGACAGAGTGAGATTCCGTCTCAAAAAAAAAAAAAAAAGACATATCGGTGACACAGTGCAAAGACCAGTCACAGGGCAGCATAAGGTGAAGTGGCAAAGCAGGCCGATGTCCGCCCGTCAAAGGTGGTCATTTGCCTGCAACACCTTCCCCCCTTCATCTGGGAGCTGCCCACAGGTGTACAAAGTCCAAAGGCTTCCGTGATTCACCTCCCTGACTTCCCACTCAGACTCCATGTTCCATGTAAACTTACAGCAACACTTGGGGAGCTTGATCTATTCAAGGGGGTCTCTCCTCAACCAAACTGTGAATTCCTCCACTTCACCTCTGGGACCCTAGAGCCTGGCCCAGGGACAGCGTGGAAATAAACTTAGAAAACGTGAGAGGTGGATCTAAGTTGTGGGGTAAGGGAGATCAGCCTGAGTGCCCATGCAGTTTTCCTGCAGGAGTTAGGCATATGATTTGAAGGCCAGAAAATATTTCGTATACTTTGGTGCAATGCGGGTGTAGTTTTATATATATATATATATATATATATATATATATGATATATAAGATATATATAAGATATATATGAGATATATAAGATATATATGATATATGTATAAGATATGTATGATACATATATCTCTCTCCAGAGGACCTTTCTTTCTTCTCCCTTGTTTCTCCTTACCTTGTGAAGAGGAGCGGGAGAAGGGTCAATCTTTCCATCCCAAAATAGGAAGTTCAAAGGTGAGGAGGGTTTGCAGGGAAGGCCACTTAGAACAAAACAGGAAGTCATTTCCTTGGGAAATGAGTTCTTGGAGACTGACCATTAATGACAGAGCCATTCAGGGGTTGAGGATAGCAGAATTCTGGGGTGGAAGGTCCCCTGAGGCTTTAACTGTGATGTAATTACTAATCACGTGCAAAAGTCATGCTTATATTTACACTTCGGTAACATCCTGAAGATCTGGACTTCAAAAACCAGGCTACATCTGATAGCTAATTAATATGCTCCTCACATGCCCACGTTTCTTTTTGTACAAGAAAGCACAGGCTGAACTCATTAAAAAACAGTCATTAGACCAGAAAAATAAGTTACAGGCAAGCAGGCGCAGGAAAACTTATTTACAAAGCTCAAGGACTAAAACCAAAAACCAAACCAAAACAAAAAACCTGAAGAATAAACCAAGAAAACCCACCAACCTGCCCAGCTTTTAAGAGAAAAATAATTTAAATTTTGTAAAGATTGTAAAATAGCCTTAGGTTCTGAATTTCAGGTGGTAGAAATTAAGGTTGACTAGAAGCTTTGTGATAACTTTAGATAATGTTACCATCTTGACAGGGGCTGGGAAACTTTTCTGTCCCTCACAAGTCCCATAGGGCAGGCAGAAAACACTGCTTGCAGGAGGCAGATCTGGGTAAAGACTCCTGACTTTTTCAGCGTCATAGCACTTCTAGATTCAGCTGGCTTCAGCTTCGTCTGCTACTCAGCAGTGACTGAAGTAACATGATCTTTTTAAGCTTATGGCCCTGTGGTGTCTGGGCTCGCTGGGAACAGTCAGGAAGCAGCTAGCATCAAGATGAAAATAGAGCAAAAACTGATACTTCACTTCAATATGTCAGGCCCAGGTTACCATTCTGTGGATGGGTAAAAGCGAAATCAAGAACAAGACTTGTATGTGAATCTCAAAAATAGATGTGCATAGATCAGCTTCAAATATTTTCTCTATATGCCAATATCCCTGAATTCAGCTCTTTCTTATTTGTTTTAAGCATAAAAAATCCTATACTTCCACAGTGTGTCTCAAAGCAAAGCAAAGTCAATAGGGACCTCTTTCTAAAACCTTCCATAAATGTGGCCAATGGTTTACCAGGTGAACCGATGGCTGACTGAGGGCTAGATGGTGGTATTATTCTGCCCCCAGGTTGAGAAAGCAGGATTGTCTCAAGTGTCCTCAACCATCATTGCATGCACTACCAACTAACATTAACTGAGTCTTTATTCAGTTAGGAAGCTTTGATTTGCAAGTTAACAGAAAACCCAATTCCAGTTGCCTTGAGGTGATCCTGTGGTTTCATGATGTCATCAACAGTCGAGGTTCTCTTGCTTCTCTGCCATTATCCATGTGTTGGCTTCATATTAAGGATGGTTCTCCCTATGGTCATAGGATGATTCCTAGGATCCAACATGGGGAAGGGGCAGTTAGACTAAGGAGTGAACAAAACCCAGATCCTCATACTGATTGGCCAGTCATTGTGGCCAGGGTACTACTGCACTCTAAGTCTAGGTTCATTCCCAACTCATCTATCCCTGTGTGCACACTTAAAAAGAAAAAATATAAGTGAAATGAACAGGATAAGGCATTCCTTAGATATCTTCACATTCAAAGCCCAACTCTTTCGTTTTTTGTTTTTTTTTTGTTTTTTTGTTTTTTTACTATTTTTAGACTTAGAGTTGCTGATTTCTGGATTTGTCACACAATATTATCCTCTGACCATTAGAAACATTGGTAACACAGCATTTCTTAAAGGGTGCTCCATATAGCCTTCTGCTCAACATCAGCAGAAGTTTTTGACAAAAAGATGTTTGACATCTTAATGATAGTCCTTCAAAACAAATGAATTGATGACACCAACCTTTCATTGCTTTGGAATTCCTTTTATCCATTTCAAGAGATTTGGCAACTTTTCCAGTGCCTTACAATTCTTTTGTGTGTTTCTCAATAGCAAAACATAATAGACTTCATTTGTGTGTGTATGTATAGCTTTCTTAGGTTCCATAAGTGTCTCAATTGTTGCTCTGCAAGAATATAGGAAAATGAAGTAATTCTTCTGATAACAAAAGTTGCTTTACTAATATCAAATTTATGTTCCACTGCTCTGATTTTATGAATTTCTGCATTTGCAAAAACTTTTTCATTTCAGTGTCAAATCTTGGAGTAATATTTTAGAAGATTTTACTGTTTAAAAAAATAGAGGCCGGGCGTGGTGGCTCACCCCTGTAATCCCAGCACTTTGGGAGGCCAAAGCGGTGGGATCACGAGGTCAGGAGATCCAGACCATCCTGGCTAATACGGTGAAACGCCATCTCTACTGAAAATACAAAAAAATTAGCCGGGCGTGGTGGCGGGCAGCTGTAGTCCCAGCTACTCGGGAGGCTGAGGCAGGAGAATGGCGTGAACCCGGGAGGCGGAGCTTGCAGTGAGCCAAGATTGCGCCACTGCGCTCCAGCCTGGGCGACAGAGCGAGACTCCGTCTCAAAAAAATAAAAATAAATAAAAATAAATTTTAAAAAAAGGCCGGGCGCGTGGCTCACGCCTGTAATCCCAGCACTTTGGGAGGCCGAGGCGGGCGGATCATGAAGTCAGGAGATCGAGACCATCCTGGCTAACACGGTGAAACCCCGTCTCTACTAAAAATACAAAAAAATGAGCCGGGCTTGGTGGCCGGCGCCTGTAGTTCCAGCTATTCGGGAGGCTGAGGCGGGAGAACGGCGTGAACCTAGGAGGCGGAGCTTGCAGTGAGCCGAGATCGCGCCGCTGCACTCCCGCCTAGGCGACAGAGCAAGACTCTGTCTCAAAAATATGTATATAATAATAAAATAAAAAACAAAAAAATAGAGATGGAGTCTCACCATGTTGCCCAGGCTGGTCTGAAACTTCTGGACTCAGGCGATCCTCCACTGTTAGCCTCCCAATGTGTTGGGATTACAGGCGTCAGCCACTGCACCTGGCCCTAGAAGATTTTATAGAGCATTTAAAGTCAACTCATGGAGTACAAGCAATGTCCATAACTCAACTGAAGGGTCAACAATCTAAGCAGCTATGACTACATTGACGGGTGTGCAGGCAATGACAACTGTCACATCTGTTACTACAATAGCAGTCATAGGACACCACTAATTGTAATGCGTGACCCAATTTCAGACATGTTAAAATGTGAAAAAATGAGCAACTTAGAAATTACAAGCTTTGCTATTCTATAATCAAGTAGAGTTTAGTCCAGGATTGTAAGCGGGTGTCAACATTAGTAGATCTATTAGTCCATATGAACAGAAAACAGGAACAAAACTGCTTATCATATTAATAGATGCTGAAAAGAAATCCAGTTAAAATTGTAGAATTTCCTAGTCATAGCCCTAAGTAAAATAGAAATAAAAGCAAATCACTTAAATATAATAAAAATTCTTTATCGAACACTGAAAGCAAATTTCTTACCTGGAAAAATGTTGATTTCAATTAAATAAGGAACTAGCCCTTTATCTCCATAGTATTGGAGTATTAAAAATGCAATAAAAATGAAATTATGTAAACATTGGTAAAGACTATCACTTTTGCTAATCATATGATTTATCTTTATTTTTATTTTTTGAGACAGGGTCTTGCTGTGTCGCCCAGGCTGGAGTGCAGTGGCACGATCATAGCTCATAGCTTACTTCAGCCTTGAACTCCTGGGCTCAAGCAATCCTCCCACCTCATCCTCCTGAGTAGTTGGAACTGTAGGAATATGCCACTATGGCCCACTAATTTTTATTTTATTATCTTATAGAAACAGGGTCTCACTATATTGCTCAGGCTGGTCTCAAACTCCTGGGCTCAAACCATCTTCCTGCCTCAGCCTGCCAAAGTGTTGACATTACAGGCATGAGCCACTGGACCTGGCTTTATTTTTTTTTTTGTAGAGATGGGGTCTTGCTATGTTGACCAGGCTGTTCTTGAACTCCTAGGCTCAAGCGATCCTCCCACTTTAGCCTCCCAAAGTGTTCGGGATTACAGGCATAAGCCACCTTCTGGCTAACTAACCTCAGATATTCTATTAAAAGTGACTGGAATTAATAAAACATTATTTTCTAATAATAGAAAATTATAATATATAATGTATTATATGCCAGGGACTGTTCTAAACCTTCATATATGCTACTTTATTTAATCCTTGTAACAACCTTTACAAGGGTTATTATTACCCATTTTATGGATGAGGAAACTGAGCACAGAGAGTAACTTGCACAGGTCACACAGCTAGAACATAGTGGAGATGGGGTTAAGTCTCTTGCAGTTTGGCTCCATAACATTAAATGTATTGTTTCTCATGAGATAATTTAGAAAGATGGCAGGATGCAAGGGATACATGCAAATACCAATAAGCACCTATAAATGGACAGTGGAAAAATGTTCAATTCACAATTGTGACAAATACTCTAAAATACTTGGGCCTTTGGTGAACCAGAATTGCAGGACTTATATGAAAGAAACTAGAAATGTGATTAAAGTTCTTAAAATAAGATGAAAACAAATTTAAAAAAACCTTGTTCTTGATTTAAAAACCTTGATTATCATAAATATATTGAGTATCTAAATTTATATGTGTGTATATATATATATATATATATATATATATATTTTTTTTTTTTTTTTTTTTTTTTTTTTTTTGAGACAGATTCTCATTGTGTTGCCCAGGCTGGAGTGCAGTGACACTATCTCAGCTCACTGCAACCTCCGCCTCCTGGGTTCAAGTGATTCTTATGCCTCAGCTTCCTGAATACCTGGGATTACAGGCAATATATAAATTTAATTACACTCAAACTAGAACTCTCAAAGTATTTATTTTGAAAAAAAAAAAAACCCTGGTGCAGTATTTTTAATGTTAAGGTGTGGCAGACCCAATTGCCTGCCCAACAGTTATTCCCCACTTATTCCTTTCAAACAGACCTGCCACTGGGTTTAGGTATGGGATCACCTTCCTCTGAGAATAGGCCTCAGTTGGTCCTTACCTCAGACTAATGTGCCGAGACCAGCTCGGTTGGGGAGACTCTAACCCAGCAGCGCTAGAGGAATTAAAGACACACACACAGAAATATAGAGGGGTGAAGTGGGAAATCAGGGGTCTCACAGCCTTAAGAGCTGAGAGCCTCGAACAGAGATTTACCCACATATTTATTAACAGCAAACCAGTCATTAGCATTGTTTCTATAGATATTAAATTAACTAAAAGTATCCCTCATGGGAAACGAAGTGATGGGCTGAATTAAAGGAATAGGTTGGGCTAGTTAACCGCAGCAGGAACATGCCCTTAAGGCATAAATGGCTTATGCCATTGATTGTGGCTTAAGAATGCCTTTAAGAGGTTTTCCTCCCTGGGCGGGCCAGGTGTTCCTTGCCCTCATTCCCGTAAACCCACAACCTTCCAGCTTGGGCGTTAGGGCCATTATGAACATGTCACAGTGCTGCAGAGATTTTGTTTATGGCCAGTTTTGGGGCCAGTTTATGGCCAGATTTTGGGGGGCTTGCTCCCAACACTAATGAATTGTTGGTCTCAACCAGTAACTGTAATTAATTTCTATCCTCTTTTGCCAGTGATTGGTCCAAGGATGAGCATATGACCCAGTTCTGGCCAATGAGATACAAGTAGTCTATTGAGGCTTTTTTATTCTCAGAAAAAAACAGAGTCTCATAAGCATAGAGTTCTTGCTTCCTGCCTTTGGATCTGGTTGCAGTGCTCAGTTCTGTGCAGTCGTGTCATGACCATGAGGCACAAAGCAGAACATACTATCAACAAGCTGAGGTTGGTGAAGCAGGAGGCAGAGTCAGTTTTATGGCTAACACCGTTGCAGGATTGGTCTGATGCCGTCCAGTCTCCCTCTAAGCATCTTGTTAGGTGAATAGTAAAAGTTTGTATTGCTTAAATCAGTGTTAGTCAGTTTTCCTTATCACATCTCAAAATACCATAAAGTCATTGCAATTCAAATCACTATGGTATTGGTACAGTCAGATAGTAACCGTGTGATTTTGGGTGGAGACCAAGCAGTATTAACTTGACCCCTAGAGAGGCCAGAGACTGAGGTGGGCCACATGGCAGCCAACCAGGTTACGTGACTGAGCCTCAGTAAAGACTCTGGACACCAAGGCTGGGGTGAGCTTCTCTGGGTGCCACTGCTGTGTGTATTGCCACACACTGATGCCGGGAAAGCAACACTGTCCAGGACTCTCCAGAGAGAACACTGGAAGTTCCATGTTTGGAACTTTGCTAGAATCTGCCCTGTGTGTCTCTTCCCTTGGATGATTTCACTCTGTATCCTTTTCCTGTAATAAACTATAACCGTGAACATAACAGCTGTCAGTGAGTTCCGAGTTCCTCTGGTGCATTATCAAACCCACGGATCTTAAGGACCCCCAAACTCACATTTGGTGTCAGAAGTGAGGGTAGCATGGACTGTGCTACTTCTAACTCATTGATGTCTTTGATCAGTTTGGGCGCTTCTGGGTTATGCCAGCATAGTAAAACTAGTTAATAACTTTTCTATAGATTCAGTTTATTAGATTGTATTTTTCTGAAACATGGTCTATTTCCATTACGTTTAAAATGTACTTATTTAAAGTTGTTCCCTAATGATTTTCTAAAAACTGCTTCCACTGCCATTTGTCACAATACATGTGGACCTGGAGGACATTATGTTAAGTGATGTAAACCAGACTCAGGAAAATATTGCATTATCTCCCTTTCATGTGGAATCTAAGAAAAAAGAAGCCAAATATACAGAGTTAGAAAATAAAACAGCAAATACTAGGGGTGGTGGGGGGAACCAGGAGAGGAAATGGGGAGATGTAGGTCAGAGGATATACAAAGTTTGGATATGTGGGATGAGCAAGGCTCCAGGTCTAATGCACAGCATGAGGATTATAGGAAATAAAATTGTACTATATTTGGGATTCCTGATAAATAAGTGGATTTTAGCCATTCTTTTTTTTTTTTTTTTTTTTTTTTTGAGACGGAGTCTCCCTTTGTCGCCCCAGGCTGGAGTGCAGTGGCGCAACCTCGGCTCACTGCAAGCTCCGCCTCCCGGGTTCAGGCCATTCTCCTGCCTCAGCCTGCCGAGTAGCTGGGACTACAGGTGCATGCCACTATGCCTGGTTAATTTTTTTTTTTTTTTTTTGAGACAGAGTCTCGCTCAGTCACCCAAGCTGGAGTGCAGTGACTCGGTCTCCGCTCACTGCAAGCTCTGCCTCCTGGGTTCACGCCATTCTCCTGCCTCAGCCTCCCGAGTAGCTGGGACTACAGGCGCCCGCCACCACGCCAGGCTAATTTTTTTGTATTTTTTTAGTAGAGACTGGGTTTCACCGTGTTAGCCAGGATGGTCTCAATCTCCTGACCTCGTGATCCGCCCGCCTCGGTCTCCCAAAGTGCTGGGATTACAGGCATAAGCCACTGTACCAGCCCTCATTTTCACTGTTCTTGCCACAAAAGCAAACAAATAAAAATAGGTGCTCATGAGATGATGAATATATTAATTTGCTTGACTATAGTAACCATTTCACTATATGTATCCCATAACATTGTGTGTATACCTTAAATACACATGCTAACATTCATTTTAAAAATTAAAAAAATCTACCTGTAATTATCTCCCATTTCTTATCCTGAGATCAATTTCCTTCTCACTTTTTTGGCTTGAATTTAAAACTTTTTTGTCAGCTTTAGTAAAGTATAATTTTTAAATTTAGGTATAGTAGAGGTAAAATTTGCCAATTTTAAGTGTATGATTTGAAGACTGGTGACAGATGTACACAGTCATGTACCATCACCACCATCATCATCACATAGAACGTTTCTATTACCCTCGATAGTTCTCTCATACCCCTTGGTAGTCAATCCCTTCCCTCAGCCTCCTGGCTCCAGGAAACTGCTGATCTGTTTCCTATATTTCCTAGTCTTGCTTTTTGTAGAATTTCATACAAATGGCATCATGCAGTATGTAGTATTTTGTATTTGCCTTTTTTAAATTTTTTTTTTTTTTGAGACAGAGTCCCACTCTGTTGTCCAGGCTGGAGTGCAGTGGTGTGATCTCAGCTCACTGCAACCTCTGCCTCCTGGGTTCAAGCAATTCTCTTGCCTCAGCTTCCTGAGTAGCTGGGGTTACAGGCGCACACCACCATGCCCGGCTAATTTTTTTTTGTATTTTTAGTAGAGATGGGGTTTTGCCATGTTGGCCAGGCTGGCCTCAAACTCCTGACCTCAAGTGATCTCTCCATCTCAGCCTCCCAAAGTGCTAGGATTACAGGTGTGAGCCACTGCACCTGGCGTATTTGGCTTTTCTTACTTAGAATAATGCTTTTGAGATTCCTTCATGTTGTCACGTGCATTAGAACTCCATTCCTTTTTAATTGCTCCTAGATATTCCATTGTATAGATGTGCTTCAATTTGTTTATCCATTCACCTGTTAATGGATATATTTGATATAATCAGGTTGTTTCCAGGTTTTAACAATTATGAATAAAGCAGCTGGGAACATTTGAGTATTACCTTTGTTTGGACATACATTGTCATTTCCCTTGGATCAATATTTATGAGTGGTCACTGGTAAGTGTATGCTTAACTTTGTAAAATATAGTTGAACTCTTTTCCAAAGTGACTGTATTATTTTCATTCCCACCAGCAACACATGCAAGTTACTACTTGCAGATGGTTTTTTGGGGGAAAAAAACAGAAAAAAGTAGTTTCAGGCTGGGCGCAGTGGCTCACACCTGTAATCTTAGCACTTTGGGAGGTCGAGGCAGGTGGATCACCAGGGGTTTGAGACCAGCCTGGCCAGCATGACGAAACCTGGTCTCTACTGGCTGGGTGTGGTGGTGCACACCTGTAATCCCAGCTACTTGGGAGGCTGAGGCAGGAGAATCGCTTGAACCCAGGAGATGGAGGTTGCAGTGAGCTGAGATCGCGCCACTGCACTCCAGCTTGGGCAACAGAGCAAGACTTCATCTCAAAAAACAAACAACAGAAAAAAAAGAGTTCCAGTATATCCTTGCCGATAATAAGTGTTGTCAATTGTCCCTGGTGTTTCCTCCACCGACAGCATCCTAGCTACTAGACCCTTGAAGCCACTTTCAATGTTTTAGTACATATTGTCCAGTTTCTATAAAAATGCTGCAGCGATCCAGGGACAGTTAGGGCTCAGACTCTACATCATGTTGGGTACCTCTGATCCCATCTCTTCTCTTAGCCTTAGAAATCTCAACATCTCCATGAACCCAGCTTCTCCAGCCTCTCCTGGTTTCCAAGCATTGCATCATTTCTGCTTCCCTGTGGGGATGCTCCACTGTGACCCCCTTCAGCTATATGGGAATAGGAAACTTTTACTCCTCACTCGCTATTCCCAAGGGCTTCACTCTCAGCTCCTCAGATTCCCTGTTCAGGGAATCTGAACAGGAAGGAACAGCTGACATCAAATGTGCCTCTATCCCAGTTCTGGCCTTTCTCCTGACTGTTTCTGTGTCTGACTATGTGCTTGACATTGTATGTGCATAGAACAAGCTCTAGAAGGAAACTGCAAATCGGTAACAGTGGGTACGTTCTGGAGAGGGGGAGGTTCACTTTTCAATTTACAGACTTGTGTGTTGGCATTTTTTAAGAAAAATAATTTAAAAATAGCTACAATTTTTCTTTTTTTTTTTTTTTTTTTTTTTTTTTTTGCGACGGAGTCTTGCTCTATTGCCCAGGCTGGAGTGCAGTGGCGCGATCTCGGCTCACTGCAAGCTCTGCCTCCTGGGTTCACGCCATTCTCCCATCTCAGTCTCCCGAGTAGCTGGGACTACAGGCGCCCGCCACCACGCCCGGCTAATTTTTTGTATTTTTTAGTAGAGACAGGGTTTCACTGTATTAGCCAGGATGGTCTCGATCTCCTGACTTCATGATCTGCCCGCCTCAGCCTCCCAAAGTGCTGGGATTACAGGCGTGAGCCACCGCACCCGGCCAAAAATAGCTACAATATTAATAAATAAAAGTTCTCATCTTGTGTGCCCCTGCTCTGTATAGTGCTACCTAGATGGGCCTATCTCTCATTTAATTATTAATTACTATTAAAAACCATCTGCACTTTCAGTGAGGCTGGAAAGACACTCAGAGCTCCCAGAAAAACAGAAGCCTGTCTGGTGAGACAGGCTGCTCCATTCACTAGAGGGTCTCCCAAGAGACTCTCAGTTTTCGTCTAAAAGTATTTAGAGGAAAACAGCATTGTAGAGAGAGTCTAGGTTTGTCTAACACACTTCAAATTTTTGTCTCTTTTCCTGGTGTCTCATTCAGGATAGCATGTGTCCCAGATAGAAGAGTTGGTTGGGACAATAAAAAGCATTGTTTCCCAAACCATCAATAACTTGTTTTGGATAACACCCTGCTGCCACCAGCCAGTTCTTCTGAGAGAAGACAAAAGGCTCTGACCTGCCTCCAGGCACCTTACCTGCTGTTCTCTTGCTGATGTCATAAATGATCAACAGCATCCCCTCATAGCCACATTGTCAGGACACCTAGAGAGCTGTGTGGAGCCAGAAGATACTGTTTCTGCATCCCAGGCATGTTGGTGAGCCTCAGGTGGCTGGAGTGGCCAGGGCTTCTGCAGGAAGGACCTGAGAAGTGGACATTCTCCACACTCACCTCAGCCTCAGCAGAGGGGACATCAGCTCCAAGCTTTTGCCTGGCAGGGTCTCCTGTCTTGTGATTTAGAGTTCCTGTCCCCCTGATAGTTGCCATGAAAGTGGCCCTCGTGTAGCCTGCAAAGTGACGCCTATTCTCCACCCTTGGACCTGTGGCTTCTCTTTGATTAGACACTGTGCATACTCAGGGTGGCTGGCAATGGGGATGGATCCACCCAGGGCTCCTAGTGGGGATTCTTAGGGGATACTGTGGCCCTTTTCTAGAGCACTCACATTTCATTAAGAGGCCTTCACAGGTCTCAATCTCACATACCCTCTGCTATTCAGCCACATTGCCCTTCTTACATGTTTCCAAACACCTGGATGCCTTTGCACACATGCTGTTCCTCCAGCCTAGACTGCCCTTGCTTGTGCTTTTGCGCGGTGGCTCATGCCTGTAATCCCTGCACTTTGGGAGGCTGAGGCCGGCAGATTGCCTGAGGTCAGGAGATCAAGACAAGCCTGACCAACATGGTGAAACTCTGTCTCTACTAAAAATACAAAAATTAGGCGGGCATGGTGGCAGGCGCCTGTAGTCCCAGCTACTCGGGAGGCTGAGGCAGGAGAATCACTTGAACCCTGGAGGTGGAGGTTGCAGTGAGCCAAGATGGCGCCACTGCACTCCAGCCTGGGGAACGGAGCGAGACTCGTCTCAAAAACAAAACAAAACAAACAAAACAAAACAAAAAAACTCCTCCTCATCCATCAGTGCCATGTCAAATATTATCTTTGTAAAGCCTTTCTTCACTTTCTGCCTGAGTTAGTTCACTTCTGGGCTCCCATAGTTTGGTCCTATGTCTATTAGCACACTCCCTACCTCTCTCTGCCTCCTCCCTGCACAAGGATCTCAAGGGTAGAGGCTGTGCCCTTCATATCCACACTCTCAGGCAAAGGTTTGGTGATTGGTATTGAGAAGAATGGTTTGGCTGTCCTGCCAAACCATGTCCCATGTCCTGCTCTGGGATGGACATTCAGATTGTGGAAATGAACCCAGAGAGGAAAGTTTTGATGAATCAGCCCAAGTTTTCACTACATTTTTCTTTAAAAAGGATTCTGTGATTAACTGCACCCCAATTAGCAGGCACACCTAAAATATTAATCATTTAACTATCACCCACGGCCCACTGAGTCACTGTGCTGGGAGGGGCAGGAGGCAATGATTCCAAACATGTCTGCAAGTCTGATTCTCAGCCAGACCTTTCAACCATGCTACTCAGGAGAGAAAACCAAACTTTTCTTTCAAGGGAGAATGTATGGATTTCCCCCAGGGGGACAGCACGCAGGACTGAGTTTGAAGGATGTTTTCTGCACACCTAGCATGTAATCTCTGATATTTTCCAACAAGTCAATGCATGGCTTATCCAGCAAATTACTTACATTAATAGACACCCATTATCTCTACTGAAAAGATTTCCTAGATAATGCTGTGACTGAAGTTTATAATTATACTGCAGAATGCCAGACCTCTCTGCAGGGCCCAAGTTTAGCACTGTTCTAGCTCCTTCTGGTGGTACAGCTTTAGGACTTTATTGAATGCCAAAAATCTTAGCTTTGAGTGTCTACACTTCCTAAAATGAATGCCTCCTTGCAGCATCTGAAGTGTTAATTTTAATTTGTTCATTCTTCAAGAAGATTGGTGATGTTGTTGTTTTCATTTTTTTTTTTTTTTTTTTGAGACGGAGTCTCGTTCTGTCCCAGGCTGGAGTGCAATGGCATGATCTCAACTCACTGCAACCTCTGCCTCCTGGGTTCAAGCTATTCTCCTGCCTCAGCTTCCCGAGTAGCTGGGATTTCAGGCGCCCACCACCACGCCAGCTAATTTTTGTATTTTTAGTAGAGATGAGGTTTCACCATGTTGGCCAGGCTGATCTCGAACTCCTGACCTCGTGATCCACCCACCTCGGCCTCCCAAAGTGCTAAGATTACAGGCATGAGCCACTGTGCCCGGCCATTGTTTTTATTTTTTAGTTTAATTTTTACAATTTTTATCATTATTATTTTTTTGAGACAAAATCTCACTCTGTCACCCAGGCTGGGGTTCAGTGGTGCCATCTCAGCTCACTGCAACCTCCACCTCCCAGGTTCAAGTGACTCTCCTGGCTCAGCCTCTCCAGTAGCTGGGACTAGAGACACTTGCTACCACAGCCAGCTAGTTTTTGTATTTTTAGTAGAGACGGGGTTTTGCCATCTTGGCCAGGCTGATCTCGAATTCCTGACCTCAGGTGATCCACCTGCCTCGGCCTCCGAAAATGCTGGGATTACAGACGTGAGCCACCGTGCCCGGCCCTGTTGTTTGTAATAAGTAGTAATAAAAAGCCGGGCGAGGTGGCTCACGCCTGTAATCCCAGCACTGTGGGAGGCTGAGGCGGGCGGATCACGAGGTCAGGAGATTGAGACCATCCTGGCTAACACAGTGAAACCCCGTCTCTAGTAAAAATACGAAAAAAGAAAAAATTAGCCGGGCGTGGTGGCGGGCGCCTGTAGTCCCAGCTACTAGGGAGGCTGTAGGGCAGGAGAATGGCGTGAACCTGGGAGGAGGAGCTTGCAGTGAGCTGAGATCAGGCCACTGCACTCCAGCCTGGGCAACAGAGCGAGACTCCGTCTCAAAAAAATAATAATAATAATAAAAATAAAAATAAGTAGTACTAAAATATGCAAACAAATTCATTACATTTTAAACCTGAAAGGCCAAGTCAGATCTCGAAGAGATATTTGCATACCCATGTTCATAGCAGCATTATTCACAGTAGCCAAGAGGTGGAAGCAACTCAAGTATCTATCAACAGATGAATGGATAAACAAAATGTTACACACACACACACACACACACACACACACACACACACAAAATGGAATATTATTCAGCCTTAAAAAGGAAGGAAATTTTGACACACACTACAACATAGATGAATCATAAGAACATTATGCTAAATGAAATAAGCTCATCACAGAAAGGCAAATACTGTATGAGTCCACCTAGAGTGGAATCTTATGAGGCACCTAGAGTAGTCAAAATCAGGCCAGGTATTGGTGGCTCACACTTGTAATCCCAGTCCTTTGGGAGGCCAAGGCAGGAGAATTTCTAGAGGCCAGGAAGTTGAGACCAGCCTGGGCAATATAGTGAGACCCCATCTCTACAGATTTTTTTTTTTAAATTAGCTGGGTGTTGTGGTGCATGCCTGTAGTCCTAACTACTCAGAAGGCTGAGGTGGGAGGATAGCTTGAGCCCAGGAGTTTGAGGCTGCAGTGAACCATGATTGCGCCACTGCACTCCAGCCTGAGCAACACGGTGAGACCCTGTCTCAAAAAAAGAAAACAATCACAGAGACAGAAAATAGACAGTAGTTGCCGGGGCTGGGAGGAGGGGATAAATGGGGAATTGTTGTTTAATGAGTACAGAGTTTCGGTTTTGCAACACGAAAAACTTGGAGATGTGTTGCACAACAATGAGAACATATCTAACATTACTGAACTGTAACCATTTAAATATGATTAGGAACAATTTTATGTGTTTTTGTTTGTTTTTTTGAGACAGGGTCTCACTCTGTTGCCCAGGCTGGATGAAGGGCAGTGACATGATCATAGCTCACTGCCACCTCGACCTCCCAGGCTCAAGCTATCCTCTCACCTCTGCCTCTCTGAGTAGCTGGGACTTCAGGCATGTGCCACCACGCCCGGCTACTTTTTAAACTTTTTGCAGAGACAGGGTCTTACTATGTTGCTCAGGCTGGTCTCAAACTTCTGGACTCAAGCAATCCTTCTGCCTTGGCCTCCCAAAATGTGGGGACTACAGGAATGAGCCACTGTGCCCAGCCATCATGTGTTTATTTTAACCACAATAAAAAATTTAAACAAACAAACAAAACGCTGAGGGGTCTTCAGGATCACCTGGTCCATCCTTTTATAGATAGCACAAAGACTTGTCCAAGGTCATCATTCATTTCCTCAAGGTGACCTGATTCGCAGCCAGATGCTCATCGTGCTCCAGCAGCTGTGGTGAGCTCCCTCTCCTCTTCTGGCAGGGAAAGGAGGTACCCAAGGCCCTATGTTGCTCCCAAACAAAGCCAGGTCAGTGGGGAGAGGCTCTGCGAGCCTCTAGATTCTCATCATTCTCTCTGTCTTCTTTTCCATACCCTCATCTGCCACTGGGTTGCTGATTTTTACTGGACGCAGATTTTTAAATTTTTTTTTATTTTTAGACAGAGTCTCCCTTTGCTGCCCAGACTAGAGTGCAGTGGTGCGATCTGGGATCACTGCAACCTCCGCCTCCCAGGCTCAAGGGATTCTCTTGCTTTAGTCTCTGGAGTAGGTGGGGCTACAGACGTGCACCACCACAGCTAATTTTTTTTGTATTTTTGATAGAGATGGGGTTTCACCATGTTGGCCAGGCTGGTCTCAAACTCCTGGGCTCAAGTGATCTGCCCGCCTTGGTCTCCCAAAGTGTTGGGATTACAGGCGTGAGCCACCGTGCTCAGCCTGGAACAAATATATATATCCATGAGAACAAGTCAAGTGCCATCTTGGGTCTTTTTTTGAACTTTTCTCCTGGATCAGAGACAGGCACCTTGGGTCTTGAAGATGACAGAAGCCCAAAGTGTTGAAAAAGAATGGTAAAATGAGCACACCTAGCACCTGGAAAGACCTTTCTAAGCCCGGGGTCTGCAGTCACATTCCCAGTAGACACTACTTTATCTCAGATTAGAATTTTTCTGGTCTCCAGGTTGGGTTGTTTGTTGGCCTGGGTCTGCATGCAACTTTCTGCTCAGGCTTAAGGAGATTCTACTACAAGCTTGGAGGCCTCCAAAACACTCTCGATGCAGAGTTTTAGTGTCACTGAATGCAAAGCTCTTTGCTAGTTACTCAAGGTGACCTGCCCTGACCCTAATCTCCTTTTCCTATCGTTTCTCATTGGAAACTAACATTGCTTAGTGGTTAAAGCTTGGACTTCAGTCAGGGTTGAATTCTGCTTTAGGCTTTATCTCCGTAGCCTTAGGTAATCATTGATCTTACTGAGCCTCAGCTTTCTTTTAAGAAAAACGGGGAGATGGCGGGGCGCGGTGGCTCACTCCTGTAATCCCAGCACTTTGGGAGGCCGAGGTGGGTGGATCACGAGGTCAGGAGATTGAGACCATCCTGGCTAACACGGTGAAACCCCATCTCTACTAAAAATACAAAAAAAAAAAAAAAAAAATTAGCCAGGCGTGGTGGCGGGCGCATGTAGTCCCAGCTACTCGGGAGGCTGAGGCAGGAGAAAGACGTGAACCCGGGAGGCAGAGCTTGCAGTGAGCCGAGATTGCACCACTGCACTTCAGCCTGGGTGACAGAGTGAGACTCTGTCTAAAAAAAAAAAAAAGAAAAAGAAAAATGGGAAGATAACAGTATCCAGTCTGTGAGGGTTTGATGAGTTAATGCCTTCCAGATCTTAGTCTAGAACCTGATACACTTTTAAAGCACTTGGAAACTTGAGCCATTGTCACTGGCAGAGATGCCCTCTGCTCCAGCAGAATAGGCTCACTTATCAGATCTAGAGGTGGTCTGTTGTTCCAGCCTCTGTCTCTGCCTTGCTTTGCTCTTCCCCTTTCCTGGAGAATCTTCCCCAAATCCTACTGAGATCCAGCTCAATGCCAACCTCTTTTTAAAGGCTTCACTGACCTTCTCCGCTAGAAAGTATCTGTGTGGAGATTGATTTGTACATGTCTGGGTAATAATGTAATTGTGAGGAAACTGCTAAGGATGGGTTTGTTGAATGTGCTCTTGTGGGTGGTCATGGAATGCAGGAGGCCACAAGACCTGACATAGGTGCTTTGGCTTCCTCTGGGGCATCCTGGAAAGTTCTCTGATAAGATTCCACAAATTCTGTTTTCACAGGAAGTCTGAGACCTCAGGGAGGTACCTTCATGACCCATTATTGGCCACTGCAAGTCTTGAAGACGGACATACCCTTACAAAAGGCATAAGGATATTGCATGGATCTTCCTACTGGGCTGTAGGCTGTGCTCCAATTTACTAGTAAATGGAACTCTGGGTAGTAGGGTCCTCTTCTCTTTGCACCATCCTGAGTCCATGGGCTTGACCTCTACCCCTCCATCTCCTGCCTGTGTAAGATCCAAAAGTCCAGCCTAATTCTCCTTTCCTACATCCACAGCAAATGCTCCTGCCTTGGATTATTTTAGGACTGTGATTCCTCTCCTGGAGCATGATGCCAATCAGACTTGTGTAATTATTTAGTATATGATTTGCTCTTTTATTGGATTAGAGGCTTCTTTAGGGCAGGGATTATATTGGACTAATTTCTCTTTCATGTGAAGAACCAAGCATAGGACCTAGCTCATGCTTAGTACTCAGTGGCTAGGTACTAAATGGTTATAACTATTAACTTAATTGTTATAATAGTTAATTGTTGTAATAGTTAAGACTGTAACTACCAATGACCACATGCTCATGATCTGCCTTGTACCATGCTAAGTGCTTTACATACATTATCTGCCAGCCTTACATCAGTTCTGTAAGGAAAGCATTACTATCCTCTTAAAGAGGAGAACTGGAGGCTTAAAGAGATTAGTGACTTGGTCAAGGTCGTAGAGCAAGGAAAAGGTAGAGTTGGAGTTTTAATTCAGTCTCCATCCGAATGAAGAGATGTGTGGGTGGCCATGTGAAACACATACGGAGCATCACTGCATTTGCGCAATTTCCACCTCAAATCTGAACCTGGTCATGCAAGCCTGAAGACAGCTGGCTTCCCCGAGACAGCCTAGCCCAGCATCATAATGTGGGCTGCTGTCAGTTAGACCCAGTCTGGGGCTGCCAAATTAATGAGCCCCTAGACTATCCAAGATGATCTGCACAGTGGCTTCTGTTCTTTCCCTGGCTTCATCTTTATAGCTGTCCTCAGTGAGATGAGCACTGAAGAAGAATTAAATAAGGCCATGAGCACATCAACAATGAGAATGGTCAATATCACCTATGCTGAGGCTTTACCTGGGGCCAGAGGCCAGGATTTGTCCAGAAAATTTGTACCTTTAGGGTGCCAGCAAGGTGGAGAACTTGTCCTTGTCTGCACCCTATTTCATCTGACTTGCTCTAAACCCTTCATCAGAACCTGAACCAGAGCTGAGGTTCACATGGATAATCTCTCCCTTGAGGCAGAGTTAACTCTCTTCGGCCTACAGACAGCAAAGGAGAATGATATTCAATGGAAAAATTCAATGTTCTCAGGCTACTCAAAACTTCCTGTTAAAAAAGAAAAAAACTATGCAAAAAAAACTTCCTGTGATTTGTCTATGATTTCTTATTTTAAGGATGAAAAAAATAAAACCCAGGGAGAGTAAGCACTTCCCCAAAGTCACCAGCAATCTCCTGCTAGAGCCAGGCTACTGCTGAGGTCTCCTGGCTCCCTGCCCAGAGCTCTAGTCACCATAACACACTTGCTTAGCTTTAAACTCAATTTGCTTATTTGAGGCAAAACTAAAAGAAGACACAATTTCTTTTTGTTGTTATTGTTTTTGAGACACAGTCTTGCTCTGTTGCCCAGGCTGGAGTGCAGTGGCACGATCTTGGCTCCCTGCAACCTCTCTCTCCTGGGTTCAAGCAATTCTCCTGTCTCAGCCCCTCGAGTAGCTGGAGTTACAGGCATGCGCCACCACACCCAGCTAATTTTTGTATTTTTTTTTTTAGTAGAGATGAGGTTTCGCCATGTTGGTCAGACTGGTCTTGAGCTCCTGACCTCAGGTGATCTGCCCACCTTGGCCTTCCAAAGTGCTGGGATTACAGGCATGAGCCACCGTGCCCAGCCAGAAGGCACAATTTCAAAGTCTCTGAATATATTTGAGCATTTCCATAGACAGATGGCTCCTCCAGCCTCTCCCTTTGCATTACGAGTTTGAGGCTGCTTGGTGGAATGAAGAAAGGATTGACTTTGAAGCCGGCTGGGCCCTTTCAAAGCCTTGGGCTTTGACTCTTGGCAAAATCACTTTCTCTCTCTAGCCCTAGGACTGTTGTCTGTAAAATGGTACCATTACCTGCCTGGCAGGGCTGTTGTGTTCCTGCTTATTTTTGGAGCTCAATTCTAATGTCACTTTCAGTGTTCCCTGACCTTCTATCTAAAGTGGTCTCTCTAGAGGACTTCTGATTTCAATTCTGATATATGAAAAGGTTAGAAGCGCTCTCATCCTTACAAGAAAAATACGGGAAACTGGAAAATCAATGACTTTCTCTGGATCTATCAGAAAACTGGGTTTGGAGGCCAAATCTCCATCTGGGTTCTGGAGAGAAAGGCTCTTCCAAGAAGTCCAGCTGAGATCTCCTTACCTGGAGCAGAAGCCAGCTCAGTGATGCCTCAGAACGGATGGTCCGAACTTACAATGGTTCAACTTACAATTTTTTGATTTTATAATGGTGTGAAAATGACACACATTCAGTAGAAACCATACTTTGAATTTTGATCTTTTCTAGGGCCAGTGATATGTGGCACAATGCTCTCTTGCAGTGCTGGGCTAATGTAAGTGTTCTGAACATACTTAAAGTAGTGTAGGCTAAGTTGTGATGTTTGGTAGATTAGATGTATAAAATACATCTTCAACTTACGATATTTTCAACTGATGATGGGTTTATTGGGACATAACGGCATCATGAGTCCAGAAGCATCTGTAGTAATTCTGATGAATTACTGCAGGTAGTGTGTGGATTAGTGTGAGAAGGACAAACATCTACAGCTGCAGTCTTAGTGGTGGCCCCCACACTTTTTTTTTTTCCTCTGAGACGGAGTCTTGCTCTGTCACCCAGGCTGGAGTGCAGTGGCGCGATCTCGGCTCACTGCAAGCTCCGCCTCCCGGGTTCACGCCATTCTCCTGCCTCAGCCTCCTGAGTAGCTGGGACTACAGGCGCCTGCCACCAGACCCAGCTAATTCTTTGTATTTTTAGTAGAGACGGAGTTTCACCATGTTAGCCAGGATGGTCTCGATCTCCTGACCTCGTGATCGCCCCGCCTCGGCCTCCCAAAGTGCTGGGATTACAGGCATGAGCCACCGCGCCCGGCTGGCCCCCACACTTTCATGGACTTTATTTTCAAGAAACACACAAGGTACCGCTGGTGAAGACTTGAGGAAGTTCCCCTTATGGTTTAGTGGTTCTTGAAGTGGAGAAGAAGAGTAATGCCCGTGAAATATGCCCAGAATATTTTACATAACAGAGATCTAATCTTCAGAGGAAAAGACTCTGGCAGAGGCTGATCTCAGTTGGGAAAAGAACATTCATTCCACTCAGTTGGGAAAAGAACATTCTAACATTCCATAACGTTAGAAGAAACATTAGTTTCCTCTAACCTTTCTGTCTCACTTAAGGGGGAAAAACATAGTCAACAGGAATCAAGACTTCAGGAAAATAAGCTAGAAGTGTTGCAGCCAGGGGAGTATGGAGAAATACTTGAGAAAGTCATGCCAGCATTATCTTACTAGCCAAACTAAATAAAGACTAAATAAAGACTTTACAAGAAAGGAAAACTATAGCCAATATAGCCAACTATAGCCCAATATCTTTTATGAACATAGACACAAAAGTCCTCCACAAAAAAGTAGCAAATAGAATGAATGCTTTCTCTATAGTATCTGGATCAAGGCAAGGATATCCTTCTCATCACTCCTATTCGACATTATACTGAAAGTCCTAGCTACTGCAATAAGAAAGAAAAAGAAAATAAAATGAATACATATTTAAATTGGAGAGACAAACTGTCTTTATTTGCAGATGACATGATTGTCTATGAAAAAAATCTTGAAGAATCTACCAAACACAAAAACAAAAAAACTCTTGAAACTAATAAGTGAGTACAGCAAGGTGAATATACAAAAGATTGCTTTTTTATATACCAGCCATGTACAAATGGAATTTGAAATAAAAAATTCCATTTATAATTGCACCAAAAATACTTAAGTATAAAAATCTAACAAAATATGTATAGGATCTACATGTGCAAAAGTACAAAATACTGATGAACTAAGTCAAAGATGGTTTAAATAAATGGAGACCTATTTCCGTCTCATGGATTAAAACAGTAACAAGCCAGGCACTGTGGCTTTTGGCTGTAATCCCAGCTACTCAGGAGTCTGAAGTGGGAGGATTACTTGAGGCCAGGAGTTCGAGACCAGCCTGGGTAACATAGTGAGACTCCGTATCTAAGAAATTGAAAAATTAGCTGGGTGTGGTGGCTCATGCCTGGAGTCCCAACTACTCGGGAGGCTGAGGCAGGAGAATCTGTTGAGCCCAGGAGTTTGAGGCTGCAGTGAGCTATGATCATACCGCTGCACTCCAGCTAGGGCAACAGAACAAGACCCTGTCTCTGAAAAAAGAAAGAAGGCCTGGTGCAATGGCTCATGCCTGTAATCCCAAACTTTTGGGAGGCCAAAGTGGGAGGATTGCTTGAAGCCAGGAATTGGAGACCAGGCTGTGAAACAATGTGAGACTCCATCTCTAAAAAATTGAAAAATTAGCCAGTCGTAGTTCCAACTACTCAGGAGGCTGAGGTGGGAGGATCACTTGAAGCCGAGAGTTTGAGGCTTCAGTCAACTATGATCGTACTACTGCACTCCAGCCTGGGCCTTGTATCAAAAAAAAAAAAAAAAAGGGAACAAAGAAAGACTCAATATTATTAAAATATTAATTATTCCCAACTTGAACTATAGATTCAATGCAATCCCAATCAGAATCCCAGAAAGCTATTTTGTAGATATCAACAAATAGATTCTAAAGTTTATATGAAAGGAAAAGACTTCAAATAACCAACACAACACTGAAGAAGAAAAAAGTTGAAGTAGTAATACCACCAATTTCTTTTTTTTTTCTTTTTTCTTTTTTTTTTTTTTGTTTTGAGGCAGAGTCTTGCTCTGTAGCCCAGGCTGGAGTGCAGTGGCGTGATCTCAGCTCACTGCAAGCTCCGCCTCCCAGGTTCACGCCATTCTCCTGCCTCAGCCTCCCATAATACCACCAATTTCAAGGATTACATGAAGCTATAGTAATCAAGACAGTGTGGTATTGGTTAAATAGATATATAGGTCACAAAAATATGGTCGACTGATCCTTGACAAATGCACAAAGGCCATTCACTGCAGAAAGGATGATCTTTTCTTTTCTTTCTTTCTTTTTTTTTTTTTTTTTGAGATGGAGTCTTGCTCTGTCACCCAGGCTGGAGTGCGGTGGCACGATCTCGGCTCACTGCAAACTCCGCCTCCCAGGTTGACGCCATTCTCCTGCCTCAGCCTCCTGAGTAGCTGGGACTACAGGCGCCTGCCACCACGCCCGGCTAATTTTTTGTATTTTTAGTAGAGATGGGGTTTCACCGTGTTAGCCAGGATGGTCTCGATCTCCTGACCTCCTGATCCGCCCGCCTCAGCCTCCCAAAGTGCTGGGATTACAGGCGTGAGCCACCACGCCCGGCCTGATCTTTTCAACAAATAGTGGTAAACAATTGGATGCACAGATGTAAAAAATGAACCTAAATACACACCTTGCACCTTTCACAAAAATTAACTCAAAATGAATATAGACCTAACCGTGAAACAATGTGGCTTCTCCCTGTGGCCCTTTATTTTCTTCATAGTACTTACCACACTCTGGACTTATTTTCATATAGTACTTCAAATTTATTTGTTCTATTGCTTATTATCTCTCTTTCCAGCTACTCTGTAAGCTCCAGAGGGATGGCTGTGTCTGGTAAGTGCTCAATACATAACCATTATTATTTTCAAGTTGCCCCTTGGTTTACTTAGACTATCTTAGCATAATTATTGAGAAATATGGAGGCCAAAGCAGGGGTGATTTACACAAGATTAAGTACTAAGTAAATCCCCATAAAAAGAAACACAAAAAGGAAACATTTCTACAGGTTATGGAAGATCTGATTGTCTAGGCTGACTCTTTGTATAAGCAGAAACATGGACCTGACCTCAGGATCCCTGCTGAAAGTCCTGCTGCAATTAATAACCATCCATTTCAAATGGTAGTTACCAGGGGCTGGGATGGGAGTGGAGGTTGGGAAGATGTTGGTCAATGGATATAAAATTTCAGTTAGATTGGAGAATAAATTCAGAGATTTGTTGTACAACGTGGTGACTAAAGTTAAAAACAATGTATTGTACACTTGAAAATGGTTAACATTTTTAGTGTGCATGCCACAAAAAATGATAAGTATGTTAGGTAATGCACATGTTAAACATATTGTACATTATATATATATATATACATATACGTATAGTTTTTATTTGTCAATTTAAAAAACAAGCAAAAGGCCAGGTGTAGTGGCTCACACCTGTAATCTCAGCACTTTGGGAGGCCGAGGTGAGTGGATCACCTGAGGTCAGGAGTTCGAGATCAGCCTGACTAACAAGGTGAAACCCCTTCTCTACTAAAAATACAAAAATTTGCCGGGCGTGGTGGCGGGTGCCTGTAATCTCAGCTACTCAGGAGGCTGAGGCAGGAGAATCACTTGAATCCAGGGGGTGGAGGTTCCAGTGAGCCGAGATCACGCCATTGCACTCCAGCCTGGGCAACAGAGTGAGAATCTGCCCCAAAACAAAAAAACAAAAACAAACAAAAAAAACTACCTATTTCAGATGAAAATTTGTGAAGTGCTGGTGCCACCACATGGCTGTGGGAGGAAAACCAGCTGGGGCTTTTGTTAATGCAGAGAAAAAAACAGTAGAGGTGGCAGGAAATTGTCCCTTAGCAGCGACAACTACAACTTTAAAATTACACAGGTCTAGCACAGCAACAACAATCATGACAGCAGCAGCAGCCAATGCTGATGCCATCGGGAGTCCCTGTGGTCCAGGCATGCTAATTCTATGTGCTCTATGTGAATTATCTCATTTAAGTGTCACAGGGAGTAGTGGAAGTTGGAGATGGATGTTCATGGGTGGGAGAACCAGAGACTGACTTCCTGAGTTTGAGATGCGTGATGAAGGTCTATGCCTGGAAGGAAAGTCAGAAGCATTTAGCTAATGACTGTTATATTCGTGATCATAATATAGCCATGAGCAATGGTAATGGTAATTACAATAATGAACCCGAGGGCAATTTTATGACAAGAGAACAGTTTCAATAGGTTCTCCTTCCTGCATTTGAGTAGAGTAATAGTTTATTTAGAATTATATTCAGTTAGATAATCAGATAAACCGAAGAATGTGGTAGTGTCTCTCATTTCCCTCCAGGAGACTGACTTTCCCATCAAATTGTAGATACAGAAGCTGCAAATGTGAGCCTCACAAATACCAGCAGGTTTAAGAGACCAAGGAGAGAAAAAAAAAAAGAAACACAAAAGTGTTACTTTTAATACATTTACTCTGCCCAGCATATGAATGCAACCCCAAGATTTGCAGTCACCTAACAATCTCAACAACCAGAGAGGTCAATTTTCCTCCTAGAGTGAGGACAGGTAGAGAAAATAACCAGAGAGTTCCCTCCATTACTCTTCCATCCTGGAGGCTGGCAAGGAAGAATCCTGTTGAAACACAAAAACTATTAGATGGGACTCTAGCACACCATGTTAACAGTCACGATGAAAGCCAGAGTGACAAATATACATTTCCTACTTTTGAAAATGAAGAAGTTGAGCTGTCCAGATTCATATTGATAAGTTTTGCTTAAAAAATTAATTTTTCCCAAATGAAAAAACATATTTTTATTTTATATGGGATTCATGATCTTTATAAAAAATTTTATGATACAGAAAAGCATGACAAAATACAAATTCAATAGTAATCCTGTCCTCAAATGACCATCTTTCCAGATAGTTCTCTGTGGATAGACACACCAGTACACACAAACACACACCCTGATATTATAAATTTGTATCTTTCTACATTATTGCTTTTAATGGATACATAATGGCCATAGTGGAACATTTCCATGATGAATCCCAGTAATGTCGTTTGTTCTATCTACCTACCTATCTGATTTGTGTAAGAAATTAAGCGCAGACATACCTCATTGTATTGTGTTTTGCTTTGCTCTGTTTTGCAGATACTGCATTTTGTTTAAATATTAAAGGTCTGGCCGGGCACAGTGGCTCATGCCCGTAATCCTAGCAATTTGGGAGGCTGAGGCAGGCGGATTGTCTGAGCTCAGGAGTTCAAGACCAGCCTGGCCAACATGGTGAAACCTTGTCTCTACTAAAAATACAAAAAATTAGCCAGGCGTGATGGTGCATGCCTGTAATCCCAGCTACTCGGGAGGCTGAGGCACGAGAATTGCTTGAACCCAGAGGTGGAGGTTGCAGTGAGCCGAGATCATGCCACTGTACTCCAGCCTGGGCAACACAGCAAGACTCTGTCTCAAAAAAAAAAAAAAATTAGCAGGGTGTGGTAGCGCATGCCTGTAATCCCAGCTACTAGGGAGGCTGAGGCAACAGAATCACTTGAACTTGGCAGGCAGAGGTTGCAGTGAGCTGAGATAGCACCACTGCATTCCAGCCTGGGCGACAGAGTGAGACTCCACCTCAATAAAATAAATAAATAAATAAATAAATAAATAAATAAATAAATAAATATTAAGGTCTGTGGCAACCCTGTGTTGTGCAAATCTATGGGTGCCATTTTTTTCCAACAGCATGTGCCCACTTTGTGTCTCTGTGTTATATTTTGATAATTCCCACAATATTTCAGACTCGTTCATTATTATTATATCTGTTATAGGAATCTACAATCAGTGATCTCTGATGTTACTTTGTAATTATCTACAATTACACCCATATAAGATGGTGAACTCAACCAATAAATACTGTGTGTGTGACGGTGAACTCAATCAACAAATACTGTGTATGTTCTGACTGCTCCACCAACACACCATTCCTTCATCTCTCTCCCTCTCCTCATGCCTTCCTATTCCCCAAGACACAACAATATTGAAATTAGGCCAATTAATAACTGTACAATGGCCTCTAAATGTTCAAGTGAAAAGAAGAGTCACGTGTTTCTCACTTTAAGTCAAGAGCTAGTTATGGGCTGGGCATGGTGACTCACGCTTGTAATCCCAGCACTTTGGGAGGCCAAGGCAGGCAGATCACTTGAGGCCAGGAGTTCGAGACTAGCCTGACCAACATGGTGAAACCCTGTGGCTACTAAACATATAAAAATTAGCTGGACGTGGTGGTGCCTGTAGTCCCAGCTACTCAGGAGGCTGAGGCACAAGAATTGCTTGCTTGAACCTGGGAGGTGGAGGTTGCAGTGAGCTGAGATCACCCCACTGCACTCTAGCCTGGGCCACAGAGCGAGACCCTGTCTCAAAAAAAAAAAAAAAAAAGTAGTAATGGTTAGGCTTAGTGAGGAAGGCATGTCGAAAGCCAAGACAGGCCGAAAGCTACGCCTCTTGTGCCAAACAGCCAAGTTGTGAATGCAAAGGAAAGTTTATGGAAGGAAAGTAAAAGTGCTGCTCCAGTAAACACACAAATGATAAGAAAGCGAATATGGAGAAAGCTTTAGTGGTCTGGATGGAAGATCAAACCAACCACAATATTCCCTTAAGCCAAAGCCTAGTCCAGAGCAAGGCTCTACCTCTCTTCAATTCTGTAAAGGCTGAGAGAGATGAATAAGCTGCAGAAGAAAAGTTTGAAGCTAGCAGAGGCTGGTTTATGGAAAGAGGCCATCTCCATAACATAAAAGTGCAGAGTGAAGCAGCAAGTGCTGATATAGAAGCTGCAGCAAGCTATCCAGAAAATAATTGAAAATAATTATCCTGGGATAATTGATGATGGTGGCTACACTAAACAACAGATTTTCAATGTAGATGAAATAGCCTTCTATAAGAAGAAGATGCCGTCCAAGACTTTCATGGCTACGGAGGAGAAGTCAATGCCTGGCTTCAAAGCTTCAAAGGACAGGCTGACTCTCTTGTTAGAGTCTAATGCATCTGGTGATGTTAAGTTGAAGCCAACACTCATTTATCATTCTGAAAATCCTAGGGGCCTTAAGAATGATGCTAGATCTACTCTGCCTGTGTTTATCAGTGGAACAACAAAGCCTGGATAGCACATCTGTTTATAGCATGGTTTGCTGAATGTTTTAAGCCCACTTTTGAGACATACCGCTCAGATGAAAAGATTTCTTTCTTTTTTTTCTTTTTTTGAGACTGAGTTTCACTCTTGTTGCCCAGGCTGGAGTGCAATGGCACCATCCTGGCTCACTACAACCTCCGCCTCCCGGGTTCAAATGATTCTCCTTACTCAGTCTCCTGAGTAGCTGGGATTATAGGCATGTGCCACCATGCCCAGCTAATATTTTTGTATTTTTACTAGAGACAGGGTTTCACCATGGTCTCGAACTCCTGGTCAGGCTGGTCTCGAACTCCTGACCTCAGGTGATCCACCCACTTCAGTCTCTCAAAGTGCTGGTATTACAGGTGTGAGCCACTGTACCCAGCCAAAAAGATTTATTTCAAAATATTACTGCTCACTGACAATGCCTCTCATCACCTGAGAGCGCTGGTGAAAATGTATAAGGAGGTAAATGTTGTTTCTACGCCTGCTAACACAACATCCATTCTGTAGCCCATGGATCAAGGAGTAATTTTGACTTTCAAGTCTTATTATTTAAGAAATACATTTTGTAAGGCTATAGCTTCCATGGATAGTGATTCCTCTTATAGATCCAAGCAAAGTAAATTAAAAACCTCTGGAAAGTTTTCGCCATTCTACATGCCATCCAGAACATTTATGATTCATGAACATTGTGATCACTGTTGAAATGACAACAAAGATTTTCACTATTCCACAAACTTAGTTGATAAAGCAGTGGCAGTGTTCGAAAGGATTGACTCCAATTTTGAAAGAAGTTCTACTGTGGATGAAATGTGGCAAACTTCACTGTTCTCTTAAGAAATTGCCATAGCCACCCCAGCCTTCAGCAACTACCACCCTGATCAGTCAGCAACCATCAATGTTAAGGCAAGACCCACCACCAGCAAAAAGATTTACAATTCGGAGAAGATTCACATGATTGTTAGCATTTTTTAGCAAAAAAAGTATTTTAAAATTACATATGCATATTTTTTTGAAGACATAATGCTATTGCACGCTTAATAGACTACAATATAGCATAAACATAATTTTTACATGCACTGGGAAACCAAAAACTGTGCGTGACTGGCTTTATTGCCTTATTTGCTTCATTGCAGTGAACTTGCAGTATCTCCGAGGTATGACTGTACCAAATCAAAGCACTCTTTTTGTAATCAGCCCTCAAAATTGTCAGTCCATGTTTGTGCGTTCTTGCTTTTGTTCTGGGAGGTTGTTTTAGGAAATGTTTAGATCTTTGTTTTAAGAAAAGGTCAGATGCTAAGCAGATTGGAAGCTGGGGTAGAAAACCACAAGATTCTGAAGTTCATTCTGCCAGTAATATAAAAGGAAACCCTTAGAGGCAATGTCAGCAGGCAGGGCTTAGTAAAGTTCACCGAACTTGGAGCTCCTCCCCTGCATATCTGTCCCTCATCTCTCTGATACTGCTCCCTAGCGGTGAGGGCGGATGGTCGAGGTTGGTCCCAGCAACCTCCTGGTATGTCAATGTTTTCCTTCTCCCTTAGGTACTTAAAGGATACTATTTAGGCAGGAGGAAAAGATACCTTTAAAAAGAGAAGCTTGCTTTCTAGTCATGTAGATGCTGAGTCTAATAAAAGTTTCGATTTTTTACTTTTTATTTTTTTTGAGACAGAGTCTCGCTCTGTTGCCTAGGCTGCAGTGCAGTGGCATGATCTTGGCTCACTGCAACCCCCACCTCCGGGATTCAAGCAACTCTCCTGCTTCAGCCTCCTGAGTAGCTGGGACTACAGGCGTGCGCCACCATGCCCAGTTAATTTTTGGATTTTTTGTAGAGACAGGGCTTCACCATGTTGGCCAGGCTGATTTCAAACTCCCGCCTCAGCCTCCCAAAGTGCTGGGATTACAGGCGTGAGCCACTGCACCTGGTCCATCAGTTTTTTATTCTTGTTTTGTCTCCATTCTTCATTGAGCGAAGGGGCTATACCCTCTCATTTATTCTTTAGATAGCTTTGTTGCCAACTGCTTTTTTGTCTGGAGTTTCTAAAGTTTGATGCATATTTAGACCTGATACTTTGTTATAGTTTTGAATGACAATATGTTGAAAAGTAGCTCCTTAGATAGTTTTGCCATCATTCTTCATGTCTAAAGAATATTATTAGTTGGATGTGGTGGTGTGCACCTGCAGTCCTCAGCTACTTGGAGGATCTGAGGTGGGAAGATCACTTGAGCCGAGGAGGTTGAGGCGGCAGTAAGCCTCGATCACCTACTGCACTCCAGCCTGTCTCTAAAAAAATTAAGAATATCACTTCCCTATAGTGGAAAAATTATAGTTAAATATAGAATAACCACTTTCAGGAAGGAATTTGGTTTAATTCCAGGCAGAGCAACTCAATTTTTACTAAGAGCCTCTAGGGAACTTGTCTCTTGTGATGAAACTTGTGAAGTGTGGCTAGATAATTTTATTCCTTCTCCGTGGTACCTGTTCACTCACTGGCTTCAACTCCAGAGAGGTCATTTCTGCCAGAGAGAAAACACAGCACATTTCTTCCTCATGGGCTGCAGGCATATGGCTTTATGAACTCAGTGTCCACTCAGCCTTGCTCCAAACTGCTCCTGATTCCAAAGACATTTTGTCTTGGCTGTCTTTCTCTAAAGATTTTCTTCCTTTGGATAGCGTCTGCCAGGGAACTTCACTGAGTTGCATCCTCTCCATAGATTTTCTGACAGCATTTGCTGGGGAAAATTGCCCTGGCTCAAAGTATTCATTACTTATTCCTCTCCTAAATAATTGCTTGGAAGATTTTTATCCTGATGAATCTTATACTTGAAACTTTTAATCTCCAGATGGCATTATTTGACTAGATATACATACTATTATTTTTGGTGACATATGCTGGGAATTTTGTTCTTTATTTAGGAGCTTTACTCGTGGCGATGAGGATTCTTTTGACATTTTGTTTTGAAGGGATCTGGCAATGGATACAACATGACTGAAGACATGTTCTTCAGAATATTTTCCTATGGAATCACTCTGGTAGGCTTGGCTACTCCCGAAGAGTAATCCTAAGAAACTGCGCCCTGGGGCTTGCCCTTATACATTGGTTTAATTCCTCCTGATTTCAAGATTTGCTTAGTTTTATCATTTCTCATTGAGTCAACATCCTTCAGAATTCGCTTCATTTGAGGTTTCATTCTGAACATCTTGATCTATGGGTATTATTTTTCTGTATAAACATCTGCTCTGGCCAATCCATTTGGTGGAAATTTCTCTTTCTAAGGCCATTTTCTCAGTAATTACGTTCTAAATGTGGTACTGGACATATCTCTTCCAGACCAGAGTTTTTGCGAATTTTCTCTCTGGATTTCTCTGTGAATTTGACTCAAATGCTCCTGAAGAGCCTTGTAGAGAACCATGTTTTGTTCAACCCCTCCATTCTTCACAGTAACCCCCTGAAAGGGCTGCTTGGGAAATTGGGTCCCAGTCACATTTGCCTATTGATAGAAAATGCATTGATGTCACCTAGGGAAATTTTTTTTTTTTAGACAGTCTCACTCTGTCGCCCAGGCTGGAGTGCAGTGGCGCAATCTCGGCTCACTGCAAGCTCCGCCTCCTGGGTTCACGTCATTCTCCTGCCTCAGCCTCCCGAGTAGCTGGGACTACAGGCGCCCGCCACCACACCCGGCTAATTTTTTTGTATTTTTAGTAGAGACAGGGTTTCACGTGTTAACCAGGATGGTCTCGATCTCCTGACCTCATGATCCGCCTGCCTTGGCCTCCCAAAGTACTGGGATTACAGGTGTGAGCCACTGCGCCTGGCCGCCCAATCATCTTTTCAAAAATGAGCTTTAAGGCCTGGCATGGGGGCTCACGCCTATAATCCCAGCACTTTAAGAGGCCTAGGTGGGCAGATCATTTGAGGTCAGGAGTTCGAGACCAGACTGACTAACATGGTGAAACCCTGTCTCTACTAAAAATACAAAAAAAAATAGCTGGGCATGGTGGCGGATGCCTGTAGTCCAAGCTACTCAGGAGGCTGAGGCAGGAGAATCACTTGAACCCGGGAGGTGGAGGTTGCAGTGAGCTGAGATCATGCCACTGCATTCCAGCCTGGGCAACAGAGCGAGACTCCATCTCAAAACAAATAAATAAAATAAAATAAAATAAAAATGAGCTATATTTAAAAAAGCATTTCTTTTTGAAGAGCCTTGTCTTCAATATCTTTGTCCAAGGATCTCAGACTTCCGAGAGACCCTCCTGGGATAATTATTTTGTGGCCAATTTCATTCATGAAATCTCTTTCTTTAGCAATTTCTTTATTTATATTTGGAGACAGAGTCTGGCTCTGTTGGGTGTGATCTTGGCTCACTGCAACCTCTGCCTCCTGGGTTCAAGAGATTCTTGTGCCTCAGCCTCCTGAGTAGCTGGGATTACAAGTGTGCGCTAGCATGCCCAGCTAATTTTTTGTATTTTAGTAGAGACAGGGTTTCACCTTGTTACCCAGGCTGGTCTCCTGAGCTCAGGCAATCTGCCCACCTTGGCTTCTCAAAGTGCCAGGATTATAGGCATGAGCCACCACGCCCAGCCAGCAATTTATTTTTGAGGGAATTTTATAAACACTGATTTTATGCACTGATGGTGACAATTAGGAACATAGAGGAATTTTTCCCTAGCTAACATATCTTATGAAATTGATTTCTATTCTCTAGTAAGAAGTAACTTGGCAAATTAAAAAGAAGCAAACAAAAAGAAACCTTAATTTCTTTTCTTTTTCTTTTTTTTTTTTTTGAGACAGGGTCTCGCTCTGTCACCCAGGCTGGAGTGCAGTGGTGCAATCTCAGTTCACTGCAGCCTCCACCTCACAGGTTCAAGCCATTCTCTGCCTCAGCCTCCCAAGTAGCTGGAACTACAGGGGCATGCTATCACGCCCAACTAATTTTTGCATTTTTTTGTAGAGACAGGGTTTCACCACGTTGGCCAGGCTGGTCTCTTGACCTCAAGTGATCCACCTGCCTCAGCCTCCCAAAGTGCTGGATTACAGGTGTAAGCCACCATGACTGGCCAAAGAACTTAATTTCTATTGGCCATTGCTATGGTCCCCTAAAAATTCATATGTTGAAACTAAATCCCCAACGCAATAGTATTAAGAGGTGGGGCCTTTGGGAGGGGATTAGGTTAGGAGGCCTCTGCCCTCATGAATGGGATTAGTGCCCCTATTAAAGAGGTTTGAGGGAGCCTGTTTGCCCCTTTCACCATGTGAGAACACACTGAAGGCACCATCTGTGAGGAAGGCCCTCATCAGAAACTGAATCTGCTATCACCTTGATCTTAGACCTCTCAGTCTCCAGAACTGTGAGACATAAATTTCTGTTTAAAGATTACCCAGTCTAAGGTATTCTGTTATAGTGCTCTGATTGGACTAAGATAGCACTCATTATAAGGTTTTTATCTTGGCCAGGCTCACCCATGGAATTTATGTCTCCTGGAGATAACTTTTGCAAAGTTTCTCTTCAGCTAGTTGCATCCATGTAGTTAGTTTCTTCAAACATATGATCTGAAAGTGTTTCATCCTGGCCCATTGAGGCCTTGGAATATGTCCCTAATGGTGACTTGTTGTTGTTGATTGCAGTCTGGCTGATAATAACCATGGGTTGCATCACTGGTGGCAATGACTCCTCATCAATTTATCCCTTCCTGGCATTATAGGTGAACTCTTTCTTTTCTGGTGCCTCTTGTGGAACAATTTTTTTTTTTTTTTTTTTTTTTTGCCTCAACAACCCTTGCCTGTGAACTATATTTCTGCTGATATTTTTGATTGTTTCATTTCACTTTGGATAAACTTATCTACAAGTGAGCCTTTTTTAGACAATGCTACCTCTGCATCCTGTCATTTTATTCCTGGAGATTCTTTTTTGACAGTGGTAACTGAGAAATTTTTTCCTTTCTAATGATACTTTGGAATCAGTATCTTTTTACCATGAGTCTAGAGGACAGCAGACCCAAGAAATCTATGCAGTGCCAGCCCAACTTCTGACCACGGCTCCCAAAGTTCTGCTTTCTGGAAACCTTACTGGAACTCTCTTCCCTCTGTGACCTTTGGACTTGCCTTTTGTTGAAAGACATTGAGTTAGTTTCTTCTTGACAAACGGAACTCAAACATGAAAGCAGAAAGACCCAAAGAGCCTTCCCTTTGCCAATGTGACATGCAGTATGCCTCAGCAGTAAGCCACCCTTGAAAAACTGTCAGCTGAGCACACAGCTGTCTTCATACAAATCACAAATTTTAATCCTTCCAGGAAAATTCATCATCAGTTTTTCTTTGCTGACAAACATCTTCTTATAGACACATTTTTAGTTGATTTAAGCTATTTCATTCTCTCTTATATTCTGAAAATATGTTTGTAATATCATAGCTTTTGTATTTGTTCCCCTAAAGTTGTTCTTTTTAATTCCTTTACTAAAGGTAGAAAGGGGTATTTATTTTTCCCATAGGATATTATTCCATCATTTGAAAACAGATTTGTAATCTGCACAAAAATATAAGAATGATATCACTCAGTACTAATTGGTCAAAAGGACGTTTTTACTGGGAGATATATTCTGTCACTGGGAAGAACTTTATAAATTTTATCACTTGTATTGTTATAACAGTGTGTCTAAAGTATCTAATACGAATTTTTGAAATATCTTGTTTGGGGCCGTAAATGCTTAGAGAATTGTTAATTCTGGCTGGTAATCGAGACAAATAAAATATGCATGAGTAAGCTTAAATGCTTCTGTATAACAATGGTTATTTGAAAGCTCTGTGAATATTTCATATCATCTAAGAGGCAAGAAAAAGACTGTAATCAACTTGCAGCAAAACGTCCCTGAACAGGGAAAAAAGACTTTCTTTGTTAGATTGTATTAATTAGGACAGCCCAGCAGCCAAGCGTGTGGGCCCGTAACAGGCAGACGTCAGTGCCACCTCCTGGTGTCTGCCCTTGGCCCAGCCATTAATTTCTCTGAACCTTAAGTGTTTTCTCATCCATAACATGGGGATTATGAAAGTGTCCAACTCATGGGGTACTGTGAGAATGAAATGAGATAATGCAATTAAGCACTTAGCACAGTGCTTGGTACACGTTAAACAGCCAAATATGTCAGTTACCTTTATTGAAAACTAACATAAACTTTTTCTTTTTTTCTGTTGAGAGACAGGGTCTTCCTCTGTTGCCCAGAGTGGAGCAGTGGTGCAGTCATGGCTCACTGCAGCCTCTACCTCCTGGGCTCAGGCCATCATCCCACTTCAGCCTCCTAAGTAGCTGGGACCACAGGTGCATGTCACCATGCCCAGCTAATTTTTAAATTTTTTGTAGAGACAGTTTCGCTATGTTGCCAAGGCTGGTCTTGAACTCCTGGCCTCAAGTGATGCTCTCGCCTTGGCCTCTTGAAGTGTTGGGATTACGGGCGTGAGCCACCTCCTGGCTTAAAATAATCCTTTTTAATAATGTATTTCTTTCTTTTTTCTCTTTTTCTTTTCTTTTCTTTTTTTTTTTTTTTTTGAGACAGTCTCACTCTGTTGCCCCATCTGGAATGCAGTGGCTGATCTCAGCCCACTGCAACCTCCGCCTCCCGGGTTCAAGCAATTCTTCTGCCTCAGCCTCCTGAGTAGCTGGGACAACAGGTGCGCGCCATCACACCCAGCTAATTTTTGTATTTTTGGTAGAGACAGGGTTTTACCATGTTGGCCAGGCTGGTCTTGAACTCTTGACCTTAGGTGATCCGCCCACCTTGGCCTCCCAAAGTGCTGGGATTACAGGGATGAGCCACCACGCCCGGCTAATGTCTGTCTCTTTTCTAAAGCATTTGTAGAGGAATCAACTTGTGTGGTAAGAAGGAGAATTTTCATAATCCCTTTAGAAAAGTGTGGAACATCTGATGAACATGTGCCCTTTGGGGGAAGATGCATTCCAACCAAGACCCTAGCTCTTTGAGAATGGCCTCGATGTTAAACTCACTTCAAAAGCAGCGGTAATTTGGGGGCTAAATTTACTTGGTTCTTCAATTTGCCCCTAAACAAGTGAAAGCTGGGAGCCATTCTAGACTTCTCCCTCCCCTCACTGTGGATTCTGTGTCTCTAGCACCTCTCAGATCCAGCCCTCCTGCTGCACGCAGCGCCTCCAGGGCAGTTTCTTCACACACATCCTGCTTACCCTGCAGTGGGACTTGCTCCTGCCTCTGTGCCTCTGCACATGCCCTCCTCCCCCTCTGAGACGTTCTCTGTGGTGTGTCACCTGCCTTCTTTTAGGTCATCATCTGTCCCTGCACAGGGCTCGTGTGTGGCCATTGAGCATCTCCCACATGCTCAGCATTGGGTCTTACTTCTCCTGCCCATCACAGCTGCCCTGAAAGGTAGACAGGATTGGTGAAGAGAGTTGCCAACCACAGGAATTAGGAAGTGAGGAAAATAAGACAGTGTCTCTTCAGTTTACCTGGGAGAGCAGGGTAAGCTTGGCCAGAGCTGAGACTCATAATGGCATCTTACCAAGAGAGGGGAGAAAGGCTATACCCTGAGTGAAGGCACTCATCTCCCTTTAGAAAGAATGTGTCCTTCAGAAAGGGGCAACCCAGGCATTGCCAGTGACCTCTAAGCATTTCCCTGAGGGGATAGGGGAACTGGGCCATTTTTCTTTGCAATTTTCAGTCCCCTGGGAACACTATCCCTCAGTAGAGCTCTGTTGTTACCATCTTGAAATTCTTTATAGGTTCTGTATTTCCATACTGCATTGGGCCCTACAAATTATGCAGCTGTCCTTCTCAGGACACACAAATGCTTAAAAAATGGTTGCTAACAAAAATGATAGCATATGTCCAATAGAACTAAAAGAAGGGCCGGGCGCAGTGGCTCATGCCTGTAATCTCAGCACTTTGGGAGGCTGAGGCAGGCGGATTATCTGAGGTCAGGAGTTCAAGACCAGCCTGGCCAATATGATGAAGCCCTGTCTCTACTAAAAATACAAAAATTAGCCGGGCATGGTGGTGTACACCTGTAATCCCAGCTACTCAGAAGGCCGAGACAGGAGAATCACTTGAACCCAGGAGGTAAAGGTTGCAGTGAGCCGAGATTGTGCCACAGCACTCCAGCCTGGGTGACAGAGCGAGACTCCATCTCAAAAAAAAGAACTGAAGGAGGTACTAACTAAGAAACTAAGGAATATAAATACTTGGCCTCTGGCCTTTAGTTGAAAGACACTGAGGCAGCCACAAGACTCAACCTTTTGATGTCTCTAAGTGGAAACATTCTAAAATCCAGTCTTTACTGAAGGTATGTCTTCCTTTTTTCTTACAGAAGTAATTCATACTCATTGGAAAGATTGAATTATCAGAAAAATTTATAACTGAAAGTCATTGTCTCCCATAATTCCTGCTACTGAGACATCACTATTTTTTTTTTTAACTTTTAAGCTCAGGGGTACATGTGCAGGATGTGCAGGTTTGTTACATAGGTAAACATGTGTCATGGGATTTACCATATAGATTATTTCATCACTCATGTATTAAGCCTATTATCCATTAATTATTTTTCCTGATCCTCTCCCTCCTCCCACCCTTCACTCTCCAAAAGGCCCCCGTGTGTGTTGTTCCCCACTATGTGTCCATGTGTTCTCATCATTTAGCTCTCACTTATAAGTGACAACATGTGCTATTTGGTTTTCTGTTCCTGCGTTAGTCTGCTAAGGATAATGGCCCGCAGTTCCATCCACGTCCCTGTAAAGGACATGATCTCATTTTTTTTTATGGCTGCATAGTATTCCATGGTGTATATGTATCACATTTTCTTTATCCAGTCTATCATTGATGGGTATTTAGGTTGATTCCATGACCTTGCTATTGTGAATAGTGCAGCATTGAACATATGCGTGCATGTGTCTTTATGGTAGAAAAATTTATATTCCTTTTGATATATACCCAGTAATGGGATTGCTGGGTCGAATAGTTTAATATTTCTGTCTTTAGGTCTCTGAGGAATTGCCATACTGTCTTCCACAATGGTCGAACTAATTTAAACTCCCGTCAACAGTGTATAAATGTTCCTTTTTCTCCATAACCTCACCAGCATCTGTTATTTTTTGACTTTTTAATAATAGCCATTTTGACTAGTGTGAGATTGTATCTCACTGTGGTTTATATTTGCATTTCTCTAATGGTCAGTGACAAGCTTTTTTCATATGATTGTTGGCTGCATGTATGTCTTCTTTTGAGAAGTGTCTGTTAACGTCCTTTGTCCACTTTTTAATGGGGTTGAGTTTTTCTTGTAAATTTGTTTAAGTTCCTTATAGATACTGGAAATTAGACCTTTGTCAGACGCATAGTTTGCAAAAATTTTCTCCCATTCTTTAGGTTGTCCGTTTACTCTGTTGATAGTTACTTTTGTTGGAGACAACACTATTAACAGTCTGGTGTTTATTCCCCCAGGAACTTTTCATAGCTTATACTAATACGTTATAAATAGTATTTAGTATTAATATTTCTATTATTTTAGAAAATTGACTACTGCTATGTGTGTTCTGTAACTAGTATTGAGGACAGACTACAGCAGGTCAAGGATGGGTCTAGTTAACAGGCTACTGCGATCACCTAGAGAAAGATGAGTGTGGTTTCGGCATTCAAGTTGTTGAATTCTGACTTTATTTAGATGGAAAGCCAACAAACCAGATGTAGGGTGACAAAAAAAAAGTGCAGTCAAAGGTGACTCCAAGAGTTTTGGCCTGAGCAAGTGGAATTATGGAGAGAAACTGCTTCAGAGAAACTATCAGGGAAAGTCCACTGAGACGAGTTAAGTTTGAGGTGTCCATTGGTCATCCAAGTAGAGATGTCAAGCAGTCAAGTTCAGGGAATTTTGATTAAAGATATAAATCTAAAGTCCTTAGTATATAGATGATATTTGAATGAATGTAGATAGAATGTAATTAAAAACATTTTTTTCAAACCTTTAAGGTTTACTGCCATTTAAGCTGTTTCAAAATACCTGTCATCATTATCAACACAGTGAAAAGGCAACATTTCATTTGTTCACAGCATGGGAGAAAATATTTGCAAATCATATATTTGATAAGGGATTAACATCTAGAATATATGTAGAACTAAAACTCAACAGCAAAAAAAAAAAAATGCAATTAAAAAATGGGCAAAGGACTTGAATAGACATTTTTCCAAAAAAGATATACAAATGGCCAATAAGTACAGACTTAACATCACTCATTATAAGGGAAATGCAAATCAAAACTACAATGAGATACCACCTCACATCCATTAGGATGGTTACTATCAAAACAACAACAACAACAATGACAACAAAATAACAAGTGTTGGTGAGGATGTGGAGAAATTGGAACCCTGTGCACTGTTGGTGGGAATGTAAAATGGTACAGCTGCTGGAAAAAGAATGGCGGCTTCCCAAAAAATTAAAAACAGAATTACCATATGATCCAGCAATTCTACTTCTGGGCATATACTCAAAAGACCTGAAAGCAGGATCTTGAAGAGATATTTGTAGAGTCATGTTCACAGCAGCATTATTCACAGTCGCTATAATGTGAACGTATCCATTGATGGATGAATGCCCATTGATGGACAATGAAATAAATGGATATGCAAAACGTGGTATAAACATACAACAGAATATTATTCCACCTTAAAAAGGAAGGAAATTCTGATACATGCTACAACATGAATGAACCTGGAGGACATTATGCTAAATGAAATAAGCCAGTCACAAAAAAGACAAACATTGTATGAGTCTATTTATACAACATACTTACAGAGTAATCTAAATCACAGAGACAGAAAGAATGGTGGTTGCCAGGGGCTGGGGAGAGAGAGAAATGGCGAGTTATTTTTTAATGGGTGTAGAGTTTCAGTTTTGCAAGATGAAAGAGTTTTGCAGCCGGATGGTGATGATGGTTGCACAAGAATATGAATCTACTTAATACAACTGATCTGTACACTTAAAAATGGTTAAGATGGTACATCTTACATGTATTTTACCAGTTACTAAAATTGAAGAAAAGTATTAAAACATTGATAATATATGTTGAAGAAAAATATCTGCTATCAGTGACATAGGTAGACTCCAGGATATGTGTAAAAAATACTCGGAGAGGCCTGACTGTGAAGTGAAGCAAAAGTTAAGACATGAACACACGAGATGGATGTGTGTTGGGAGGAAAGCTTAGTGTTGGGAGAAAAGTTGAGGCAGGGCTTGGAACATGTCCGGGGTCCAGGATAAAACCCCTTGTGGCCTTTGTAATGTGTCCAGACTTGCTGGCTCCTTGCTTCTAGCACTCCCATTATCTCAAGTAGCCATATGTTTCAAAGAAAATGCTAAACCCTCACAGCTGTAGTTCATTCGCTTGATACACCACTTTCTTTCAACTCCCACATCCTCATCACCTGTTTCTTTGTTTGATCACCAACAAATAGTGTGGGCTTCCAGAGCTTGGGGACTTCACAGCCTCCATACTAGCATTGGCCCCCTGGTCCCACTTTCTCTCTTGACTTGTCTTTTCTCTTTCCTTTGACTCGGCTGGACTTTGTAGCCCCCATGGCCGGGTGTTGGGTCTGATCACCCCAACAGATGTGTTTTCATTGTGTAGTCTCCAAAACGTTGATAAAACAAGAGGAAAAAGTCACAGCCACTTGGTTACTTATTTTAAATCCTTATTCTGAGTTTATTTTATCCTATAACTAGTTCAAATGTTCACATGATTAAGGGTTTTTCAGAAAAGGAGTAGGCTGGAGAGTCCCTGAACTTGCCTTTTACAGCCCCTTAAATCTTGGTTCTAGCTGGCCATTTTCTTGGCTTCTAGCTTTGAGAGAAGTAAATCAGAAGCATCTACCTTCTGTAACCTAAAAAGGAGATTTGGAGCCAGGAGGCATTTCATGAGCAACTTCATGCTGAAAAGCCTCCTTGTAATTTATTTCTTGTGGCATTTTGAAGTTCTGGTCAATCTGGCCAGCAGACTCTGAAGGAGGAACCTGTTGAGGCATTCCTGGAATCAGACTGGAAGTACCTGGCAGGAATTCCTGCTTCAAGGCCTCCTTCTCAAGGGGGTTTGTGTCCTCCTGCATGAATATGGTCTTCTTCGTGGAAACAGTTTCAGAAGTCAGTTCCTAAATAGAAAACAAAAAAGCCGAAAACTTATTATTAGAGACTAAAGCACACAAGATGTATGGCAAAAACACAGTATTGCTATTTTCATGCCAGAGACTAAGAACCAAACTGAAATAGCCCTGCTTTAACAAAGCATAAAACCAAACCTATAGGATCAAGTTGATTCACCAATAATTTAACTGCCTGCCAGAACAAAACCCATCATCTTTTCATGGAAAACAACACAATCTAGACTCCCTATAAAACGTCCTCTACAATGTCCAGAACACAAGTAATAATTACCAGAAGTAAAAAAGTAGGAAAATGTGAACCATAATCTAGAGGAAAAGTATTCAACAGAAAAAGGCCCCAGAATGGGCTGGGCGTGGTGGCTTATGCCTGTAATCCCAGCACTTTGGGAGGCCGAGGTGGGTGGGTCATGAGGTCAGGAGTTTGAGACCAGCCTGGCCAACATGCTGAAACCCCGTCTCTACTAAAAATAAAAAAATTAGCTGGGTGTGGTGGCGGGCGCCTGTAATCCCAGCTACTTGGGAGGCTGAGGCAGGAGAATCACTTGAACCGGGGAGGCAGAGGTTGCAGTGAGCCAAGATCTTGCCACTGCACTCCAGCTTGGGTGACAAAGTGAGACTCCGTCTCAAAAAAAAAAAAAAAAAAAAAAGAGAAAGAAAAAGGTCCCAAAATGACAAAGATGGTGGAATTAACAGACAAGGACAGCTATTATAAATATTTTCAAAAATCCAAGGTAGAAAATGGACATAATGTAAGAGTTAAGATGTATCAGCAGAGAAAATGAGAATTATATTTAAAAAACTAAATAGAAATTCTATAAATGAAAAGTACAATATCTGAAGTGAAAAAATCCACAGAATCCCCAGATAGGATATAGGGCATTGCAGAAGAAATGGTCAGTAAACATGAAGGTTTATCAGTAGAAATTATCCAAACTGAACCACACAGGAAAAAAACAAACAAGCTTCAGTGACCTATGAGACAATATTGAGCAGTCTAACATCCATGTCCCTGGCTGAGGTAGGAATCCTTGGAGCTTAGGCTCTACTGATCCCCTCCACTTCAATCTTTGCCTGGAAGTTGTACAGGTCCATTCTACAATGAGCCCCGTGGAGTTCATCCTTGTCCACATGGTCTCTGAGACCCTTCTACACTTCAAACTATTGAGTCTATGCAGCAAATATCTATTCATTCTATAAAAATACATTTCTAAAACATTTGTATAGTTTAGATCTTTATAAACAATAGTTTTCTTCTGACTCAGAAACAAAATTATGGTTTACTTAAAGCTGCATCTGCTTAATGAAGAGACATCAATACCAAGGATAACCTCTGCCTGACTTAAATTCTACCTCCTCTATGGATACTTTTTGGTTCAGATAATTGGGTATGATCCCTACCATACATAGCATTCTGTTTCTGTTCCTCTTTTGATACATCCACTAGATAAGCACTATTCAATCTGGGATACTTAAAGACTTGCTAACCTGTATCCAAGTCATGATGTTTTTTTGTTTTTTTTTAAAGCGATCAAGGAAAAAACTGCAAAGCTTTGAGTATATGCATATCAGTTCATCAGGTAAACTAGCAGCCCTGCTGAAATTTCATGCAACCCATCCTGGGCCAGTTTGAAATTGGTTTTCCCAGCACTAGTCACACAAAAGGTGAAGGTGACCAATAGCAAGGAGCAATTTGTAATCCACCTTGAATCAATCAGAAACCAGAACTTGGAATCTTGTCTTTTTGATACACCTGTGCCTCTTTGTCCTTTATTTAGCCTTGTCAAAGTTTGCTTGGAGAGTAACTCACATCTTAATGTTGTGGCTCTCTCTTGCCAGGTAAACTATAAATTTGCTTCATTTTAGATCACTCTTGGGTTCTCTTTATTTCCTTCTAACATAGGGAATCAATTTCCATAATCATAACCTACACATGAACTCTTTTCTAAAACTGAGAACTTGCACATAGTCTAGACATTGTGCTTGTTGTCATTTCCCATCTTCCCTTACAACTGCCTACATCACACACTTGGCAAAAGAATGACATACCATTTACTTATCTAAATCTTGTTAAAAAATATTGCTGCAGGATGCAAAACCTCAGTGAAACACAAAAAGACAATTCAAAATATTGATGTGAACCGAGAAATTTTCCTTAATAAAGCTACCATAAAACTAGGGTGAAGTTTTGGGAGTCTTCTTTATATATTTCTTATTGCCTTATATATTTCTATTTCTATTAACAGTAAAGCATGGTGTTAGAAATGGATTAGAGGTGCACAGCAAGGTGATGACAAATTTTGCTGAATGATCCTCACCTCTCCCATCTCCAAACAATTGCTTAAAGAAGGAATTCTTCCTGAGGGAGAGTTCCTTTAGACTATTGTCAAACAATAGAATGAAACTATCTTTTGATTTAATTTATTTACAAGACATCCAGGCTTAAAAAAGCAAATCTATTCTTTATGAGGACATTGAGTATATTAGTATAAATGTAAATAAGCTTAATATTTTCATGTCTTCAAATTGGCTTGGAAGCTAACAAATGCTGGTGAATTGTAATGGACTGCATTAAAGACTTTAATGCACAGAGTATAGTCATAGCTAAAAAGATGTCATATATCAAACCCAACATTGCAATTGAGACGACTCTCTATCCAGGTATCTACCACTTTGTAGAAAGCATAGAATAGCATAAGGCGTTTTTCAGGAGATTGTGAAAAAAACTGTGGGAGGTAAAAGATAGGCTTGTCAGACTGACGAATGCAGAGTTGTCTTCGGCTATTCCAGCTTAATAACTTACATCTAATATTATAACATCACAGAGGAGGCATCTGAAGTTTCACAGAAAAGTAAATAGAATATAATAAACCAAATACTAAATACTAAGTTAAATATCTGAAGTATGCACTGATAACAATCATATTTGGTTTCTGAAAAATACTGAATACTACTTGAAAAGGGCTCAAAGGATCTTATATGAAAAAATATTTGTTCCAAGTGAATAGATTTTTTAAAAATCAGATTTTTTGGCTGGGCGTGGTGGCTCACGCCTGTAATCCCAGCACTTTGGGAGGCCGAGGTGGGCAGATCATGAGGTCAGGAGATCAAGACCATCCTGGTTAACATGGTAAAACCCTGTCTCTACTAAAAAAAAAAAAAAAAAATTAGCCGGGCGTGGTGGCATGTGCCTGTAGTCCCAGATACTCGGGAGGCTGAGACAGGAGAATCACTTGAACCCAGGAGGCAGAGGCTGTAGTGAGACGAGATCGCTCCACTGTGCTCCAGCCTGGGCAACAGAGCGAGACTCCATCTCAAAAAAAAAAAAAAAAAAAAAAAAAACAGATTTTTTTTAAAACCAGTAACACCAGAGTATTTCCTAAAATCTAAGACAAATTTGTCTTTTAACATCTCCTTTTTTCATTAACAAAGATTGTCAATAACATTGGTTTATATGCAAATATGTGAATACTTGCACATATATTGAAAATCAAGCTAAAGGGACCCTTAATGTGCCTTGGATTGGGACTGGGCTGACTTGTGGCTTTCCTGGAGTCCATCACTGGGATGTGTGTGGCAACCCAAAGCTGAGTCCTTCTCCCTACCTTGTGACACTTTTCACAGTTCTGTTGAATCTGATACTCTTCCTGTTTCAGCATTTCTGTCATTTCCATTTCCTTGAGGCTACTGTCATATTCCTCCTGCAGGTGGATCTTCTTTTCCCTATTCTGGGGTGAGGTGACAGAGTCAAATCAGGTCAGCAACCAGGGAAGCCTTATAAACGGGGCCCCCTCACTGGGGACTGATATGGGCTGTGGGCTCTTTGGGCCTGTTGAGTTTCCTCTTGTAACTAGCTTTAGCCTGCTAGTAGTTACAAACCCTTCAACTCCACAGCTCGTCTGAGTTGAAGCTCCACTCCTCTGAGTTAGCCCCCAGGATCCCCATGCTTCAGGGATATCTGGCTCTAAGAGCAAGTCAAATAAACCAAGAAATTCCCCAGGCCAGCTCCAGAATCCTGCCTTGTGTCTTGGCTTTCAAATTACTCTGGGAAAGCTGGGCCCTCCCTAAGTCCCAGTGCACATACACACCTCTTCTTTTGCTTTTGCTGTTTTCCTGTAATGATAAAGCCAGTGAGCCAGGTATTCTATTGGGTCACTGGGCCGAACCTTCGCCACCTCTGCCAGTGCCTGGGCCAGGCAATTTCCAAAGCACCTCTTCAGGTAGTTAGTTTCCATCCTGGCAGCCTGGAAAACATCAAAACAAAGTCACACTATTTTACAAACTTAATCTGATATTAAAAATAGACACATTCTAACCAATTCAGATTTATTTCAGGATAAATATGAGATGCTTCTGGATCACACCTTTCCCAAAAGAACCAACAAACACTTACTTGCTGTTATATTCAGTGGAGGATTGTGCCATGAAACAACCTAGGACCTGGCCTCCTCCTGACGGAGTCCATATTCCTGAAGTTGACACATTTTAATTCCAAAAGAGCCCAGCAAATAATAAAAGCTCAGATCTAGCCTTAACATTTTCTGGAGGCATTTTTCAATTTGTCCCCCTACTTCTCATATTTTAGCTTAAGGAAGGAAAAACAAGTAGACAGATATCCATATCTATCTTATACATATCTATCTTATGGACATAGGAAAAAATATTTCCTAGCTCTCTCCACTGCAAGGGCCTTGAAACCAAAACACTTCAGTAGCAATGAGCACGCTAAGCATATAAACCTTGCTTGTAAATAGCCTTCATCACTTAAGAGGAATCAGGGCTCCTTGGAGAAATGGCTGATTCCAAGGCTGGGGCAGGACAAGCCTAACGAGCCTGGAACATTTTGTTGTGCCAGAAAGTAAGAAAATTCTAAAAAATACAATCGTTGGGGACAGAGAAGCCAGCTTGAAGGGGCTCCTACTAGTCAAATCTGGGGCAGTTTGACCATTAAAATAGTGACTGTAATGGATTATAACTTACAGAATAAAATAAGAATCCATGAGTCCATATGAGAATATATAAGTAGATTAAGAAGGGAGAAGGCAAAGTTCTTTGTTAAAGTAGAATGCCAACTAATAAATGTGGGGAAAATAATGGAGTTTTAAAAAACTGCCATTTCCTCACCACCATAGTATAACTGAATCAAAGCAGGATCATCAATGAGTCAATGAGTGCTAAACCTGGGTGATCATTTGACAAGGAATAAGATATATGCATAGTCTCAAAGTTTCTTCTCACAAATTAAGTATTAATTCCAAAGGAAATACAGAAATTTTACAGTGGCAAAACCTGGCCAACAAAACCTTAACCAAGTAATCAAAGTAAACATCACCAACAAAGGAACAAAGTGACATCAACTGCCTCCTGATGTGATGCACTTCTTATGGTACATAAAACATTTCCGTGGATTCCTGCCTAAAATGCAATATTTGAATGTAATTGAAGAAACATCAAATAAATCCAAAGCAACTACCCTGTACTCTTAAAAATGTTGAGGGTATGAAAAAAAAAAGAGTAACTGTTATAGATCAAAGGAGATTGAACAGCCATAATAACTACATGTAACACATGATCCTAGATTGGGCCTGGACAAGAAAAAATAATTCAGCTGGGCATGGTGGTGCACGCCTATAAATCCAGCACTTTGGGAGGCTGAGGCAGGAGGATCACTTGAGCTCAGGGGTTTGATACCAGCCTGGGCAACAAGGCAAAACCCTGTCTCCACAAAAAATACAAAAATTAGCCAGGTGTGATGGCACACACCTGCAGTCCCAGCTACTTGGAGGGGTTGGGGGCAGGGCTGAGGTGGGAGGATCACTTGAGCCCAGGAGGTTGTGGCTGCAATGCGTTGAGATCTCACCACTGCACTCCAACCTGGGTGACAGAGCGAGACCCTGTCTAAAAAAAAAAAAAAAGAAAGAAAGAAAAGAAGAAGAAAGAATTCTATAAAGGGCATTGTTGGGAAAATTGGTTGAACTGAATGTGAAATGTAGATTATGTGACATAATTTATCCAAGTTAAATTTCTTAATTTTGAATAATGGAAATATGAGTAAGAGAATGTCCTTGTTCTAGGGCTGAATAATGGCTCCCAAATGTGTCTATGTCTGAATACCTGGAAACTATGAATATGTCACCTTAAATGGCAAAAGAGACTTTGTAACTGTGATTAAATTAAGGATCTTGAGATAGGGGGATTATCCTGGATTATCTGAGTAGGAACAATGTAATCACAGGTGTCACTATAAGAGGGACACAGTACGGTCAGACAGGGAAGGTGATGACAGAGCCAAGGGAGAAAAAGCGATGTGATTCAGGGCCTTGAGCCAAGGGTATCCTCTAGAAGCTGGAAAAGACAAGAAAATGGATTCTCCCCAGAGCCTCCTGAGGAACCTGCCCTGCTGACACTTTGGTTTTAGCTCTATAAGATTCATTTTGGACTTCTGACCCCAAGACCTGTAAGGGAATTAAAAAAAAATTGAGTGGGGTAGTGATGGAGGGTGGGGACAGAGGTGGGTGGTGTCTCCTGCCAATCTGTGTGGCCCACTTGAACCAATGCATTTGGATAAACAAACTTCTACACCCCTCTTACTCAAAGCTAGTCTGACGACAGATGACCAGCAGCATTCCATCACCTGGGTGAGAGGTGACAGCGTGCTGGCAGCCCTCTCTTGCTCTTGGCACCTCCTCGGCCTTGGTGCCCACTCTGGCCATGCTTGAGGAGCCCTTCAGCCCGCCGCTGCACTGTGGGAGCCCCTCTGGGCTGGCCAAGGCCGGAGCCGGCTCTGCTTGCAGGGAGGTGTGGAGGGAGAGGCGCGGGCGGGAAATGGGGCCGCGTGTGGCACTCGCAGGCCAGCGCAAGTTCCGGGTGGGCGCGGGCTTGGTGGGCCCCGCACTCGGATCAGCCGGCCAGCACTGCAGGCCCCAGGCAGTGAGGAGCTTAGCACTGGGCCAGCAGCTGCAGAGGGTGTGCTGGGTCCCCCAGCAGTGCCGGCCTGCCAGCACTTTGCTCGAATTCTTGCCGGGCCTCTACTGCCTCCCCACGGGGCTCCGGACATGCAGCCCGCCATGCCCGAGCCTCCCCCGCACCGTGGGCTCCTGTGCTGTCGGAGCCTCCCTGATGAGCGCCACCCACTGCTCCGCGGTGCCCGGTCCCATCGACCGCCCAAGGGCTGAGGAGTGCGGGCACACTACGTGGGACTGGCAGGCAGCTCCGCCTGCAGCCCTGATGCGGGATCCACTAGGTGAAGCCATTTGGGCTCCTGAGTCTAGTGGAGACTTGGAGAATCTTTATGTCTAGCTAAGGGATTGTAAATACACCAATCAGCATTCTGTGTCTAGCTCAAGGTTTGTAAATGTACCAATCAGCACCCCGTGTCTAGCTCAAGGTTTGTAAATGCACCAATCAGTGCTCTGTGTCTAGCTAATCTAGTGGGGACTTGGAGAACTTTTGTGTCTAGCTCAAGGATTGTAAACACACCAATCAGCACCCTGTCAAAATGGACCAATCAGCTCTCTGTAAAACAGAGCAATCAGCTCTCTGTAAAATGAACCAATCAGCAGGATGTGGGTAGGGCCGGATAAGGGAATAAAAGCAGGCTGCCTGAGCCAGCAGCTGCAACCTGCTCTGGGTTCCCTTCCACACTGGAAGCTTTGTTCTTTTGCTCTTTGTAGTAAATCTTGCTGCTGCTCATTGTTTGGGTCTGCACTGCCTTTATGAGCTGTAACACTCACTGCAAAGGTCTGCAGCTTCACTTCTGAAGGGAGACCAGCAACCCACCAGAAGGAAGAAACTCTGAACACATCCGAACATCAAAAGGAACGAACTCTGGACACGCCGCCTTTAAGAACTGTAATACTCACTGTGAGGGTCCACGGCTTCATTCTAGAACTCAGTGAGACCAAGAACCCACCAATTCTGGACACATTGGGACTTGTTGAGATGCAGAATCTCAGGTCCCACCACAGATTCAGAACCTGCATGTTAATAAAATCTCCAAGCGACCTGTAGTTACCAATCTACTTTGCCTGGATCACTGTAGAACTGTCCTTCCCCGAAGGCAGAATCACCAACTCTGCATTCTCTAGTCAGGGGGTGGCTGCCACACTGGTTACATGTGGCAAGCCGTATTGGCATACCTCCCCCTACTCTAAATTGCCCATTTTCAACAATGATCTGAAGGAAATGTGTTTGCCCAACAGTCGCTAAAATATGGTACAAAGACAGTAGAGCCAGCATAGAGCCATAATCTGAGGGCTGGAGGGGAAGGAGTCAAGGGGATGCCTTTTATTTTTTATTTTTAAGAGAGAGCCTTGGTCTGTCGCCCAGGCTGGAGTGCAGTGGCACAATCTCGTCTTACTGCAATCTCTGCCTCCTTGGTTCAAGCAATTCCGCTGTCTCAGCCTCCTGAGGAGCTGGGATTACAGGTGTGCGCCACCACACCTGGCTAATTTTTGTATTTTTAGTAGAGATGGGGTTTCTCCATGTTGGCCAGGCTGGTTTTGAATTCCTCACCTCAGGTGATCCGCCCACCTCCGCCTCCCAAAGTGCTAGGATTACAGGCGGTGAGCCACCGCGCCTGGCCAAGGGGATGCCTTTTAAAGCCCACTCAGACCAACTTAGGGTACACTCACCAATGGGGGGAGAGGCTATTTTTCAGTGTTTCCCAGAGCTCCTCTGAGGGTCTGCTTACACAGTTCCTGGACTTGCACTCAGTAGGCAAGGTGATAAGAATAGGGGTTGTCTTTGTTTACTGTATACCGCCCACGCTTGGCACACTGGGAGCTCTGTAAATATTTCTTGACTTATTCATTGAGAGAGTTCTGCCACCTGCCCTCATGCTTCCCTTTGATTTTTCCACGCCCAATCTGGCATTTACTAGCTCAACTAACATCTATTAAGGCCTCTCTTGCCTGGCACTGCCCCGCCCATAAGCTGAAAGAGAGCACAGGAAAGGCTAGCACATGCACAGACGACTAGGCCAGGGAAGACTGCAAGGGTTTGGGCCTGGTGGAGACTGGACGGCTTCCCGGTGGTGGGGCACCCGAATTGGTTCTGAAAGGAACCAAGCAGAGGTCACCAGCAAGAGCAAAGGTGCAGAGTTGTGAAACTGCCAAGCTATTAGCAGCTTGCAGTGACGGTCTTCCAGGGACTCTGGAAGGTCTTCCACCCTTTTCCGATTGGCTGCCCTTCCTGGTTCCTCCTCAAAGCCCGCCACCTCTTTGTCTCTCCCAGAGCATGCCGGGCTGCCAGTCAGGGTCCCTTGCTCTTTTGTGTGCCCCTACTCCTCCAGGTTTCTGTGTAGCAAGTCTCCTCGGCTCACCCACCCCGCGCGCCTCCACATACGCCTTTCCTCGACCCCTCACGAGCACACGCCCGTCCCGCGTGCCCGCTCCTCTCTGCCTCCCGCCCCGATCCTACGCTCCCCCTCCTCCCTGGACCCCGCCCCCTGGAGCGCGCCCGCTTCTCTCTGCCACGCTCCCCTTCTTTCATTCCCTCTCCTCTCTGCCCGTTGCCCCCTCGTGCGCGCTCTCCCTCCTGCACACCGCCTCATCTCTGCCGCAGGCCCGACTCCTGAACGCCCCCTCCTCTCTGGCCCCCTCCCCTGGCGCGCGCCCCCTTCCGCACGACCCCTTCTCTCTGCCGGGCGCCCCGCGCCTGCACGCCCCCTCCTCTCTGCCGCGCCCCCTCTACTCTGCGGCGGGCTCCTACTCCTGCACGCCCCCTCCACTCTGCCGCGCCCCCTCTACTCTGCCGCGCCCCCTCTACTCTGCCGCCTGCTCCTACTCCTGCACGCCCTCTCCTCTCTGCTGCGCGTTCCCCCTTCGCTGCCCACCGCGTGCCCTCTGCTCACCTATCCGCGCGCCCCTTCCGCTTTGCGGCGCCTACACTGGCTCCTGAGGCGCGAGCTCTCGTTGCCTGGCAACGGGACGCCGCTCCTGGGTGGCGAGCAGGCGCGTGTGTAGGGGTGAGCGCACCGGAAAGGCCCGAACTGTTTTTGGGATTTGTTCCCCTAGCTTCGCTGGGTCCGGCGGGCAGAGGCGGTTCTGACCGTTGGGCCTTGGGCGTCGAGCAGGACTCACCTGAGGCGGAGAGAGGCCGCTTCGCGCCTGGGGCTCCCGAAAGCGGCCAGCTGTCCTCCTGCTCCCCCTGAGCGGGGAGCGCTGCGTCTCCTGCGGGCTGCGGGAGACCCTTCCAGACTCCCGGGTGGGAAAACCACACTGAGCGCCCCGGGAGGTTGCCAGATACAATACTGTATCTGGCACCCCTGCCCGGGTGCCCCCGCCCAGTTGGCTGGCTGGCTGGCTAGCTGTCTCCCAGGTGTGGGTAAGGAATCTCCTTCCATCTCTGTGGCACCTTCTTCACGCTGGAGGCAGCTGTTTCTGTGGGAAAGGGCTTTCTTATGTTGAGCCAAGATGCCTATTGGTGTATGTGAAAAATAACATTGCTTACCACAGGAGAGATGGGTATTATCCTCGTTTCACAGACAGGAACATGCTAAGGGAGTTGGCAGGCCTTGCCTGGGTCCCACTGATATGCCCAGAAATCCGAGACAGAGCCTCCCCTGACCTGGCCCCGCTGGTAGGCCAGAAGTTTTCTCTTTAGGGATAATGGTCCCCTTCCTCCCTTCCCACATTTTATCCTTCTGGAGCAGCAACAGGAGTCTGTGCACCTTTTTTTTTTTTTTTTTTTAACTTCACTTCAAATGACTTTGAGATGTCTGTGTAGCGTTTTGGTCTTTCAGGTATATCCTACTGAAGAAATACAGTGAAGATACTGTGTTCCAAAGTCAGTTGTAATAATTCTTTTCTCTGTATGGTTGAGACACCAATATCAACCTCATTTGGAATTAGGTTCATTTGTGCCAGTTTGTTTTCCGTTTTTAGAGTTTTTATGACTATGTTTACATATACACACATACACATTCCTTTCCCCACTGCTGTTGCTAATACAAAAGATGACAGACCATATACAATTTCAGCACCTCGTTTTCTTTATTCTGTGTCTTAGAGATCACTCTCTAGTTTCTTCATTCTCTTGTACATCTGCATAATAATCCATTGTGTTGCTCTTATTAATCCCCAATTTGATGAACATTTAGATGGTGCTTCAGTGTGACTATTGTAAATAATGCTGCAAATAACTGTGTGCATATGCCATTTCATATTTTTGCAACTATATCTTTGAGATAGGATCCAAGAAGCAAGATTGATGAGTCAAAGGGTGAATGCATATGTGATTTTCTAGATGTTGTCAAATTCTCCTCCATAGGAGTTATACCATTTTGCCCTCCCACCACTGTCATATGGCATATGCACATAGTTATGGCATAAAATTTCAGAGACACTGACATCCTGGGGTTCATCCATAGAATAAAAATTGGGGGTTATGGACGGACCCCAGGATGTCACTGTCTCTGAAATTTTATGCAAAATGCTAGATGCATTTGTCCAGGGACAAGTTTAGACACAGTGGCATTCTATCCCCTGTAATTGCCATGCTCATTCCTATATCAGGGCCTTTCCTCATACCTAGAAGACTCTTCTCTTCTTTGTCGTGTTAATTTTACTGTTTTTTTTTTTCAGTAAATGTAAGCTTAGCTCAAATGTCACCCCCAAAGAAGCTTTTTTTTTACTTTCCTGACTTGATCAGCTACTCCTCTTGTCTGGTCTCATAGTACTTATTTTAACTGCAATTTCATATTTATTGATTTAAATATTTATCTTCCTTTCTCATCTATAAGCTCCATGAAGGCAGAGACTGTTTTTGTTTTAGTTTGCGCTGCTGTAGCAAATTACCAACACTGGGTGGCTTAAAAACAATACACATTTATTTCTCACCATTCTGGAGGCTGGGAAGTCTAAAATCAAGGCATTGGCATTTCTGGTGTCTGGTGAGGACCCTCTGGCTGGTGTGCAGGTGGCTGTCTTCTAGTTTTATTCTCAGATGGCAGAGAGTGAGAGCACGCTCTCCCATCTCTTTTTATAAGGGCATTAATCCCATGCATGACGGCTCCACACTAATGATCTAATCACTTCCCAAAGGCTCCTAATACCATCACATTGGGAGTTAGGATTTCAACATATGGATTTTTGGGGGACACAGATATTCAATTCACAATAGTTTTGTATTCCCAGTACCTATCATGGTGCCTGACCTATAATAGGTATTCTTTTTTTTTTTTTTTTTTTTGAGACGAAGTTTCACTCTTGTTGCCCAGGCTGGAGTGCAATGGCACAATCTCAGCTCACTGCAACCTCTGCCTCCCGGGTTCAAGTGATTCTCCTGCCTCAGCCTTCCAAGTAGCTGGGATTACAGGTATGTGCCACCACGCCCAGATAATTTTGTATTTTTAGTAGAGACAGCATTTCACTATTGTGGCCAGGCTGGTCTCGAACTCCTGACCTCAGGTGATCCACCCACCTCAGCCTCCCAAAGTGCTAGGATTACAGGTGTGAGCCACTGTGCCCGGCAAATATTCATTATACATTTGTTTAACAATTGATTACATTTCATCAGATTCTCAGGAAAAAATATATATATATATATTTTTTTTTATATATGAGACAGAGTCTCACTCTGTCGCCCAGGCTGGAGTGCAGTGGCACGATCTTGGCTCACTGCAAGCTCCGCCTCCCAGGTTCACCCCATTCTCCTGCCTCAGCCTCCCAAGTAGCTGGGACTACAGGCGCCCGCCACCACGCCCAGCTAATTTGTTTGTATTTTCAGTAGAGACTGGGTTTCACATAGTTTCCAAAAGGGCTCCAAGGAAGTCACTACAACTAACATGGTTTCAAAATCCTGAAGGACTCTCAAGTCCAAGAGTCAGAAAAGAGATATTATCATTATTGATTTCAAGTTTACTTGATGCCAAGTAATGTGGGTCTCATGTAATCCTCACAACATACCTGAAAAATGGGTATCATCATCCCAGTGGGAAGATGAGCAAGCCCAGGCACAGACAGAGTAAGTGCACAGTTCAGGATCACACAGCTGGCAGATGAAGGAGATCCGTTAGCCAGGATGGTCTCGATCTCCTGACCTTGTGATCCGCCCGCCTCGGCCTCCCAAAGTGCTGTGATTACAGGCGTGAGCCACTGTGCCCAGCCGATTTCTTAAAATATTAAGGGTAATCTGAGGGTGATCAATTTTTCCAAAGCATCTGAAAGAGATTGGTTGCTCCATTTTTCCTTTTCTGTTTTAAAAACAATCTGGTCGGCCAGGCGCGGTGGCTCACGCCTGTAATCCCAGCACTTTGGGAGGCCGAGGTGGGCGGATCACGAGGTCAGGAGATCGAGACCATCCTAGCTAACACAGTGAAACCCTGTCTCTACTAAAAATACAAAAAAAATTAGCCAGACATGTCCATGGAATTAGAGCCCAGGGTGTGCTGGGGCCAGGAGAGATGATGTCTGGAGGTGAACTTGAAAAGAAAATTGGGGCCAGATTGTGAGGAGCTTCATATGTTATTATTTGGAGGCTGAGTTTTTATTCTTTGGCCTTGGAAATTTATGGATTTTTTTTTTTCAAAAGGTGGACTATTGTGATGCTTTGTAAAAACGGCTCTCATGGCTTAGGAGGAACATTTTAGTGTAGTCTTTAGGGTTAGGGTTTTGGAATCAAGAGGTGGGTACAAACCCTGTCTCCTTCATCTGCCAGCTGTGTGATCCTGAACTGTGCACTTACGCTGTCTGTGCCTGGGCTTGCTCATCTTCCCACTGGGATGATGATACCCATTTTTCAGGTATGTTGTGAGGATTACATGAGACCCACATTACTTGGCATCAAGTAAACTTGGAATCAATAATGATAATATCTCTTTTCTGACTCTTGGACTTGAGAGTCCTTCAGGATTTTGAAACCATGTTAGTTGTAGTGACTTCCTTGGAGCCCTTTTGGAAACTATTAGAAGTTTCCTGGGGCCAGCTTGCTTGTGACACCCCCAATGGGAGGTGTCCATGACTGAGGGCAGGGTGTATGTAAGGCTTTGTTCACCTCACTGGACTTTAGTTTTATAGTGACTTTATTGAAAATATCCTGCAGTAATGCAAAAACACTTACTTTTTAGGAGTTAGAAATGGAGTCAATATATCTTCAAAAGCACCTTGGGGCCTGTTTAACTCAAGGTCTTGCAGAAGTGGCAAGAGTTCGCCCAGTGGATCCGATAGAATATTTAGCATTGTGGATTTACAAGTATAAGGAAAATGTGACCATGGAACAACTGGTAAGTAGGAATCTCCTTCTAGGAAATTAGAAGAAAAAAAACTGGTCCAACTTGTCTGCTTTTAAAAAAGTTTAACATTATTATTTTTCTGTTATAAAAATAATGTTTATTATACAAAAACTTGAACAACATGAAAAGCAGGAAGGAGAAAACATTACCCAAAGAAGACTTCTATTTAGATTTTTAGGTAATTCCTTTCATGGGAAGTCTTTTTTCTATAGATTTATAGATTTACGTTTATGTACTTGTGATCATACACAATGTATAACTTTAATATTGTGCTCATTATTCAGATAAAATATCTTCCCAAATTATTATATCATTTCCACAGGGATGGGCTATAATTTGCTTAACACTTTCCCTAATTGTTCCTATTAAGTGCTTTCAAGATTGCTTTTACAAATTGCTTTCTCGCTAAGAAGTCGTGTGCTGTTGTTTTTAAACAATGCTAGAGACAAAAGGAAATGGCCAAGCTGGAGCGTGAAAGAGAATTAGCTCTGATGGAGCAGGAAATGATGGAGAGGCTCAAAGCAGAGGAGCTCTTACTTCAGCAGGTGAGGCAAGTAGGAGAGTTCAGAGGGGACTGGAATTAACGATGCCAACCTCAGCATGGCACAGCCTAAATGTTGATAAACTTCCCAGCTCCAGTTATTTAGATATGGCTTCCTAATATCTTCATCTTTATGGATGTGTGTGTCTTCTTTGCTGGAGAAGCAGCAGCCATGAGTTTTCCTGAGTGCATTCTTGTATACACATATACACATTCCTTTCCACACTGTTGTTGCTGATACAAAAGATGCCATACCTCCAGGTAAGAGGAAAATACAGAGTGTGCTGTCACAGAAGGCAAAGGGAAAGACTGTTTTGGTGAGATCTGAGTGGTCAACCATATCTATTGCTGAATGGAAAAGTGTTCATGAGAGGCCACCGTAATTTGGCGGGAACAGTGTGGATGGAGTGGTGGGGGTGGGTGGACTTAGGCAGGGGAGGTGGAAAATGTAGGCAATGCTTTCAAGGAGATTTTGATAGCAAGGAGAGATGTTTTTGTGTTTGTTTTGATTTAAGAGCACAGTAGTGGAGGAGTGAGTGGGTGACATTAGGAAATAGAGTGGATGATTCGTAGGGTCAGCTCACCATGGAGATGAGAGGAAATGGGCCTGGATCATAGGTTGGGCAGGGAGAAGGCACTTCTTTGATTATAATCAAGGGAAAGAGGAGAGAATGGTGTTGGTGGAAGCACCTTCTGCGTACAACTGTTTCTGTCTTCTTTATGAAGTAGGCACCATGTTCACTTGCTAAGAACAAGGTTGTAAGGTAGGAGGTGTGGGCAGAGTGGTGAAGTTAGAAATGACAGCTTTGGAGAATGGAAGAGAGAGTTGAGGGATATAATTTAGCATTACTTGGTAGCAGTTGAAGATCAAGTACTGATAATCGTGCCATTTGATTTGGTTATGTGATGATGTGATTCTCTTCACTTGGGCCCAGATGTCTGAGTGAAGAAGTGGAGCAGGCAGACCTTTTAATTGAAGCAGGATTGGGGTAGCATGATTAGGGAGCTGAAGATATTGGTAAGGGAATTGTTGAAGGGATGGGTCATGGAGTACAAGCTGGAGAGAGGAAAGTTCCAGAATGGCTTCTGGACTGATTTAATTTATAGAGAGCTTCTAAGCTAAATTTAAGCCACTTCCATAGTTCTACCAGATAATACTTAACCCCAGAGTCTTGACTCAAATTTACATATTTAAAAAGGGGAAAGAAGCCTATTATTTGAGTATGTGGATAGAAAGAAAAATATAGACCTGGCAAATAGCTTCTCTGACTAACCTCCTATCCCTGATATTGAGGTAGAAAACTGCAGGCCCCTTAGAAGGATAGGGCTGTTGAAAACTCTACTCCTTCTGAGTCTTCATTTTCAGTCATTGGCTTATTCTTGAAGGGAGGTTAAAAAGTGTTGAGTTGGGTGTCAACTGTCATCCAAACAGGCCAGGTGCTTCCTGCAGCAGCCACAACTGTGGATGAGGAGCCATCCTTCCTCTTACAGCTCCTATAGCTGGTATCTGTTCCTGTCTATCAAAAATAAGAGAATTCCCAGAGGTTCTCCTTCCCCTAGGCAATTACATCGTAAGTGGGAGATACATAACTCTCTTCGGCTCGACTACTTTATCCTACTTATGCATAATTTGGCAATACTAGCAATAACAAGTTTCTCTAGCCATATTATGTTGACCGGTATGAACTAATCCACTGTGCATTGAATCCTAAGTATTGTAGTAGGGCGGAAGAGAAAATAATATTATACAGGAGATGTTATGGCCAGTTAGCGGAGTGGATTGGTGTGCAGAAATAGATAGGAGAGATCGATCAACAGAGAAAGGCTTGAGAGAGTGTGGCTGAGATGAAGAAAAACAGAGAGGCCTCTGGGTGCCTTCTGAGTCATGTAAGCTGGAGGTTGGGAACTCTGGTTATTTCCTTGCTGGTTGCAAAAGCAGTTGTCCTCATAGTCAGTACCACTGACTTGAAATTCCTTGATATTTTAGGCACTCTCCACAAGCCTAGTTTTTTGTGAACAGGGAAGTATTTTTATTGCCATTTTCTATGTAAGAGCTTAGTTTTGAAGTAAGAGCTTTTTTGTTTATTTGTTTTGAATGGCTTTCAGTGGTTTTGCTCATGTGTGAGGAAGGGGATTAGGTTTTGGAAGTTTCTTGAAAATGTCAAGAAGCTGGTTGTTTTGATCAATCTGACTGTTATTTAACAAATACACTTTGCATTATTGTTGAGAGATTGGAGTTATTTAACTTCCTCTACCAATGTCTGAAAGTTGATTGAAACTGTTTCTGCGTTTCAGCTACCTACCCCATCACTTTTATCTTAGTAGTGATAATATAGGAATACTAAGAAATTACCTTTAAAAGCTTTTGCAAATAAAATATCAAGCACTTTATTATATCTTTACTTGTAAAAATTTATTATTTTAGAATGCATTGTCAGATAGTAGACATTTTATGCTTTACAGGCCAAGAGGCAAATTTGATGATATTATGAAGGCATTATGGCATATTATGTAGGAATAACAAGAGAGAAAATGAATTTTTGCAAATGTTTTATTGATGAAATTCAAATAATAATCACTGAATATAAATTTTTTATTAGATAGGTTTACTATTGAGAATTTAAAAAAGTTTTTAAAAGATAACATTTCACTTGGTTGAAGTTCAGCGTTAGTGTGGTCTATCATCAAAATCTATTTTAAAATATTTATCTGCGGGCCGGGCGCGGTGGCTCACGCCTGTAATCCCAGCACTTTGGGAGGCCGAGGCGGGCGGATCACAGGGTCAGGAGATCGAGACCATCCTGGCGAACGCGGTGAAACCCCGTCTCTACTAAAAATACAAAAAATTAGCCGGGCGTGGTGGTGGGCTCCTGTAGTCCCAGCTACTCAGGAGACTGAGGGGGAAGAATGGCGCGAACCCAGGAGGCGGAGCTTGCAGTGAGCCGAGATCGCGCCACTGCAGTCCAGCCTGGGCGACAGAGCGAGACTCCGCCTCAAAAAAAAAAAGTTTATCTGCTAATGCTGATCTGTAATGAGGTTTTATGCATTTCATCCTTGAAAATGTCTTTTTACATAGTTACTGTCAAAAGTTGCTATCAGTCTATGTGTGTATAATTTAAATTAAGCATATTCATTCCTTAGAAGGTATTTCTAGAATTTTGTTTTTCTCTTGCTGTTTGCCTTTTAGCATGCATTACTTTGTAGAATAGCCACTTCCAACTGAAGGTTGATGGAAGCTTCTTAATTGCATAGTTAAATGGATTTCAGAATATGGAAATTTCCTTTGCACTTACGTTGAGGCCTTACAAACACTCTGGAATTGTAGTTCGAGGTTGGAAAATACATCCACTGACAATTTGTTTGGGAACGGAGATCTAATATCCTGTTCTAGTTTTGACAGCACTGGACGTGTATAAAGCAGCTTTACGTTACTTGTGATTCAAACAACATGAGCTGTTGTTGAAGTGAGTTTACTGCAGTGTAAGTTTTACATATGAGTGATGTTTTGCCATGTAATTTTAAAATGAATTAAGAAACATTATCAAGTCTGCAGCCAAAGCTAATTTCCAAAGCCATTTAATGTTTGATAATAGTGGTTGGGAGTATTTCTTCTCATTAAGAAAAATTTAAATCCTGTTTACCAATAACTTACTCGAAAAAGAAACCAAGAAAACAATCTTATTTATAATAGCTTCAAAAAGAATAATATACGTAGGAATAAATGTAACCAAGGAGGTGAAACATCTATACCTTGAAAACTGTAAAACACTAATGCAAAAAATTGAGGAAGACACAAATAAATGGAAAGATATCTTGTGTTCATATATCAGAAGAGTTAGTATTGTTAAAATGTCTATACTACCTAAAGTAATCTGCAGATTCATCTCAATCCCTATCAAAATTCCAATGGCATTCTTCACAGAAACAGAAAAACCCAATTCTAAAATTTGTATGGAAGTACAAAAGACCCTGAATAGCCAAAGCAATCCTAAGAAAGAAAAACGAAGTTGGAACTATCAAATTACTTGATCCAGAATTATATTACAAAGCCATAGTAATTACAACAGTATGGTATTGGCATAAAAACAGACACATAGACCAGTGGAACAGAATAGAGAACCCAGGAATAAGCCCAAGTATATACGGTCAACTAATTTTTGACAAGCCCTGCAAGAAAACACAAAGGGAAAAGGATAGTCTCTTCAATGAACGGTGTTGGGACAACTGGATATCCACATGCAAAAGAATGAAACTGGATCCTTGTCTTCCACCATACACAAAAATCAGTTCAAAATAGATTAAAGACCTAAATGGAAGACCTGAAACTGTAAAACTCCCGGAAGAAAACATAATGTAGAAAAAGCTCCTTGACATTGGTCTTGGCAATAATTTTTTGGGTATGACACCAAAAGCACAGGCAATAAAAGCAAACCTAAACAAATGGGACTAGGTCAAACTAAAATGCTCTTGCACAGCAAACAATCAGCAAAACAAAAAGGCAGCCTATGGATTGGGAGAAGATATTTGTGAACCATATATCTGATAAGGTCTGATAAGGAGTTAATCTCCAAAATATATAAGGAATGCAAACTCAATAGCAAAAAAAAAAAAAAAAAAAAAAAAAAAAAGGATCCCAATTAAAAAATGGGCAAAGGACCTAAATAGACATTTCTCCAAGGAAGATATAAAAGTGGCCAACAGGTATATTATCAAAAGTGACAAGTAATGTTCAACACCGCTAGTCATCAGGGAAGTGCAAATCAAAACCACTATGAGATACCACCTCGCCCCTATTAGGATGGCTGCTTTTTTTTTTTCTTTTTCGGACACAGAGTCTCGCTCTTTCACCCAGGCTGGAGTGAAGTGGCGTGATCTTAGCTCACTCCAACCTCTGCTCCCTGGGTTCAAGCGATTCTCCTGCCTCAGCCTCCTGAGTAGCTGGGATTACAGGCACCCGCCACCACACCTGGCTAATTTTTTTTTTGTATTTTTAGTAGAGACGGGGTTTCGCCATGTTGGCCAGGCTGGTCTTGAACTCCTGACCTCAGGTGATCCACCCACCTCGGCCTCCCAAAGTGTTAGGATTACAGGCATGAGCCACCGTGACCAGCCTAAGATGGCTGTTATCAGAAAGGGAAGAGACATGGCCGGGGGCAGTGGCTCACACCTGTAATCCCAGCACTTCGGGAGGCTGAGGCGGGCAGATCACAAAGTCAGGAGATTGAGACCATCCTAGCTAACATGGTGAAACCCCGTCTCTACTAAAAATACAAAAAATTAGCCGGGCGTGGTGGCGGGCGCCTGTAGTCCCAGCTACTCAGGAGGCTGAGACAGGAGAATGGTGTGAACCCAGGAGGTAGAGCTTGCAGTGAGCTGAGATCGCGCCACTGCACTCCAGCCTGGGTGACAGAGTGAGACTCCGTCTCAAAAAAGAAAAAAAAAAAAAAAAAAAAAAAAAAAGAAAGGGAAGAGACACACATTGGTGAGGGTGTGGAGAAAAGTGAACTCTTCTACACTGTTGATGGGAATACAAATTGGCGCAGCCATTATGCAAAATGGTATGGGTGTATTTCAAAAAATTAAAAGCTACCATATGACCCAGTAATTCCTCTTCTCAGTATATATTCAAAGGAAATGAAACCAGCACCTTATAGAGACTACTTGCACTCCCATGTCCATTGCAGCATTATTTACAATAGCCAAGATTTGGAAACAACATAAATGTCTGTCAGTGGATGACTGGATAAAGAAATTGTGAGCTGATCACAGTGGCTCACACCTGTAATCCCAGTACTTTGGGAGGCCGAGGCCTGAGGATCACTTGAGGTCCAGAGTTCGAGACCAGCTTGGGCAACATAGGGAGACCTCATCTCTAGAAAAAATGTATAAATTATCCAGGCATGATGATGATGGCATGCACCTGTGGTCCCAGCTACTCAGGAAGCTGAGGTGGGAGGATTAATTGAGCCCTGGAGGTTGAGGCAGTGCCACTGCACTCCCACCTGGGTGACAGAGCAAGACCCTGTCTTGAAAAAACGTAAGATGTATTTCTCATGTATATCTTGTATATATATATCTCACATATATGTATCACATATATGTATATATAAAAGAATATTATTCAGCTTTAAGAAAGAAGTAGGTCCTGCCATTTGTGATGACATGGATGAAACTGAAGGACATGATGTTAAGTGAAATAAACCAGACATCAAAAGAAAAATACCACATGCTGTCTATGTAGAAATCTTAAAAAAAAAATGTTGAATACATAAAAAGAGAGAATAGAACAGTGGTTACCAAGAGGTGGAGTGGGGGTAGGCCTGGAAGAAGAATGAGGAGATGTAGGTCAAAATGTACAAAATTGCAATTGTGTAGTATGAATAAATGTAGAGATCTAAAGTACAGCATGAGGATGATAGCCAATAAGATTGTATTGTGTACTGGAAAATTTTTAAGAGAGTAGATTTTAGGTGCTCTTACCATACAAAAGTAACTGTCTAAGATGATGGATATTGAAATTGCTTACCTGTGGTAAGCATTCACTATATATATCAAAACATTATATGCATCTTCAATTTACACAATAAAAAGTTAAATCTTGACCCTGAGCTCAAAAATTCATAATATAACTGTTAAGCCATGGAACTGCTGTGTGGTAGGACATCAGGATATATTCAGCTTCTGTTTCTGACAAAAATTCACAGAATTGATGGTCCAGTTTACAAGAGTGAATGAAGGTCACTGTTGACACTGCTGGATCAATAACACATAATAGATTCAAATACTTTCACAGAGTAGCTGCTGTTGAGTAATATGATGAACACTTCCCGGCTTTAAACACTATTTTCTCATGAGCTTTGTAAATTTGTTCAGCTCAGCCTTTTTCTATTCCACATGTATTTTTATCACTGTCAGCTATGACACATCTTAGCAGATTTCACTGCAGGTTGTATTGAATCAGTGTTTCTACACGACTTTGAAAATGCTCTTGTCTGTAATTGTTCCATGAAGACTGTATTAGTCCATTTTCAAGCAGCTGATAAAGACATACCCAACACTGGGAAGAAAAAGAGGTTTAATTGGACTTACAGTTCCACATTGCTGGGGAGGTCTCAGAATCATGGTGGGAGGCGAAAGGCACTTCTTACATGGTGGCAGCAAGAGAAAATGAGGAAGAAGCAAAAGTGGAAACCCCTGATAAACCCATCAGATCTCGTGAGACTTATTCACTATCGTGAGAATAGCACAGGGAAGACCAGCTCCCATGATTCAGTTAACTCCTTCTGGGTCCCTCCCACAACACTTGGGAATTCTGGGAGATACAATTCAAGTTGAGAATTGAATGGGGACATAGCCAAACCATATCAAAGACTATTCATAGAGGTTTGGTTTTTCAGTCACTTCAAACTCAGCATTGACCCTTTCCATAAACAACAACTGAGCAGTGTTGGGAACATCTGTCTGCTTATCAGGAGCCAAGGAAAGCCACTCAGAATCATGTGCCTTGTTATTAGTTGACTACTGATGTTGCTCCCAGTGTCAACTCTGAGCAGCTGCTCTCACCAAAAGGCTAAAATCTTAGACAAGTTTGTTTTTTCCTGGACACATTTTTTTTGGCCACTGAAATAAAACATGTTTTAATTCACTCATCATTGGTAAATATCTTTCCTTGCTTTCATAACAAATGAGCCTCTTGGAACCCTACTTTTGTTGCAGACTTATTTTCATTTTTAATTTTTGTAAATAAATTCTGCTGTGATAATTCTGTTTTTGTTATTTTTATTTTTTTAAGACAGAGTCTCGCTCTGTCACCCAGGCTGGAGTGCAGTGGTGCGATCTCAGCTCACTGCAACCTCTACCTCCCAGATTCAAGCAATTCTCTTGCCTCAGCCTCCCAAGTGGCTGAGACTACAGGCACCTGCTACCACGCGTAATTTTTTTTGGTATTTTTAGTAGAGACAGGGTTTCACCATGTTGGCCAGGCTGGTCTTGAACTCCTGTCCTCAGGCCTTCCAAGTGCTGGTATTACAGGTGTGAGCCACCATGCCCAGCCAATTCTGTTTTACATTTTCTAATTTTTTTTGGCCTTTGTGCTCTGTGAGCTGGGACTATTGTGATGAGTGCTTAGTCTGGTAATGTTGATATTTATTATATTCTTTTGGTACAGTGGCACTGTATAGCAAGAAACATGTTTTGCCATTTAATTTGATGACAAAATAATACACACTCTAGTGTGCCTTAAAAGTGCGACATTCAAAATTCACTATTTTTCTTTTTTTTTTCTCAAAATTTTGTTTAGAGATGGGGGTCTCGCTATGCTGCCCAGGCTGGTCTTGAACTCCTGGCTTCAAGTAATCCTCCTGCCTCGCTCCTGAGTAGCTGGGATTACAGGAATAAGCCACCCATCCCTGGCTTTCTTGTTTTGACATAATGGATATAATTTTTTTAAATGTCACAGTATAGTGATACCATGGCACTCCAAACACTGCTGTTACAATGATGTTACTGCGGTTTGTAGTGTGCTGGGCAGCCAGGCAAAGTGGTGAGTGCACCACATGTGGTCTCTGTTATAACTACTACACTCTGCTATGGCAGCACAAAAGCGCTCGTAGACAATACGTAAACAAATTAGCATGGCTGTGTTTCAATAAAGCTTTAAGGATGCTGAAATTTACATTTCATACCGTTTTCCTATGTCATGAAATATTATTTCTTTTAAATTTTTTCTATTTAAAAATGTAAAAGCCATTCTTTCTTTGTAAGCTATAAAAAACAGGAGGTGGGTTGGCTTTGGCCCACAGGCTTTATTGCTGAACCCTATTCTAGTGTGACAGATATGCTGAGTTGGGAGCAAATATATTGTTGGTTAGTAATGATTTCAGATGATATTCTTTTTTCTTCTTTTCTTTTTTTTTTTTTTTTTTGAGAGGGAGTCTTACTCTGTTGCCTAGGCTGGAATGCAATGGCACAATCTCGGCTCACTGCAACCTCCACCTCCCAGGTTCAAGCGATTCTCCTGCCTCAGCCTCCCGAGTAGCTGAGATTACAGGCATGTGCCACCCTGCCCAGCTAATTTTTGTATTTTTAGTAGAGACAGGGTTTCACCATGTTGGCCAGTCTGGTCTCAAACTCCTGACCTCAGATGATCTGCCTACCTTGGCTTCTCAAAGTGCTGGGATTACAGGCATGAGCCATCAGATGATATTCTGAAGAGTTTCTCACCCACTCTTCCACAACCAGTGTGTGGCTATTTGAAGACCCATCTATGCTTAAAGAAATTTATCTGGAAAATTGTTGCAATCTCATTTGTTACTTTAAGAAGAAAAGGGAAAATAATTTTGTACAAATTGTGCTTTCTATAATTTGCAATTAAGGAAGATTAAAATCTTTTTTAAAAATTTTATGCTTCAGGAAGCATTTGTAGAAACTAAAGTATTAGTTGGATGTGACCATGTATTGTAAGTTTCTGAAATGAAGGTGGGTATAAACTTAATTATCTTGCAATTAATCTAACTGTAATATGACATATTTCTGAATATTCAGCAACAGCTGGCATTGCAGCTAGAGTTGGAAATGCAAGAAAAGGAGAGGCAGAGAATACAAGAACTACAGAGAGCTCAAGAACAATTAGGCAAGGTAATTTGAAGTTTTATAAATGTCAGTTTTATTTAAAACTCTCTAGAATCTTCAAACTGTTTATTTCAGCTGTTAGCAGAAGGACCATGGGATTTGTAGTCTGAAGACATGCCACATACTAGCTGTGTAAGCTAAACAAGTCTCATAACCTTTTTCAGTCTCAGTTTACCTGTTTCAAAACTAGAGCTAGCAGTATAATACTATTAGCAATGTCTCACTGGTTCCTTTTTTTTTTTTTTTTTTTGAGACGGAGTCTCATTCTTGTTGCCCAGGCTGAAGTGCAATGGCACAATCTCGGTTCACTGCAACCTCGGCCTCCCAGGTTCAAGTGATTCTCCTGCCTCAGCCTCCCGAGTAGCTGGAATTACAGGCACGCACCACCACGCCCGGCTGATTTTGTATTTTTGGTAGAGACAGGGTTTCTCCATGTTGGTCAGGTTGGTCTCGAACTCCTGACCTCAGGTGATCCACCCACCTTGGCCTCCCAAAGTGCTGGGATTACAGGCATGAGCCAGCGCCCCTGGCCGTCTCACTGGATTCTTATACAATCAAATACAATCATGTTTGTGAAACTTCTCTGTGAGCAGTAGGGTTCTCTAATAGTGATACCCTCAACATTTTAGTCAGGAGTTAGCTGTTCCTAGTTACAGTAGCTGATGTTGAATATTGAGGGTATTCCAATCTCGGAGGCAGTAGTATATGTCTTTATGTTAATGTATTAACAACAAGAATTTACATTTTAAAATATGTTCATACATGGACTTTCATTAAAATAAACTATGCAGTAACTTTTTTCTTTCTTTCTTTTTTTTTTTTTTTTTTTTTTGAGACAGAGTCTCACTCTGTCACCCAGGCTGGAGTGCAGTGGCGTGATCTCGGCTCACTGCAACCTCCACCTCCCGGGTTCAAGCAATTCTCGAGCCTCAGCCTCCCGAGTAGCTGGGATTACAGGCACGCACAACCATGCTTGGCTAATTTTTTGTATTTTTAGTAGAGATGGGGTTTTGCCATGTTGTCCAAGCTGACATGATACAATCATGTCAGGTCTCTAGTTTGACCCATATTTCCTGCATCCAAAAGCTATGAGTCATATAGACCAATATTCTAGATGACTGAGTTTATAGCTACTATCTCTTAATCAAATGTTTCTCCCCCTTTTTATTCCATAATTAAAGCTGAAAAAAGAAGCAGGTTTTATAGACAATGTTCATTATGTTTATTGATGCTTAGATGAGAGAATCATTTATTAAAGCAATATTTAAAAAGTGTGAATGGTGAATTAAATCAAAAAGTGAGATTTTTTTTAAAAGGATAAAAGCCCTATACATAGTTTTAAAAAATACAGATGCTGATGCGGTCTTAGTCTGAGTGTAGTGTGAGCACAGGGATATGCCTGTATGCACACATACACAAGCAGCCCCTTTCTCTTTAAGATTCACAAAGAAATAATGTTTAAGGTGATGGATATCTCAAATATCCTGATTTGATCATTACATATTGTATGCTTGTATCAAAATATCACATGTACATCGTAAATATGTACAGCTATTTATATCAGTAAAAATTAAAAATTAAAGAAATTTTGAAAAAGATTCACGGATCTAAACTGAAAGAGAAAATACAGGAACATATCAAGAAGGCAGTGATCAAAATAAAGGAATTTAAAGTATTTTTAATCAAAGTGACCTGATAGCTACATTAAAGTGCTTCAAAGTCCATAGGAAGGATTGGTCTCTATTTTATGGCTCCAGAGAGCCACACTCATGTTATTTTACTATCTCCAGACATCATCAGCTTGTGTGACCACTGCCAGAATAACTTTAGTAATTCCTATTTCTATAGGCTTATCATCCCTCACCATAGCATAGGTAGTCCCCTGCAAAGTACCACTCCCTCGCCCATTGCTCAGAGATGAGTCCACTCATGTGCTTTCCCTTGGCCTTCTTATGGCTGCAGACTCGCAATGTAAACTATCATGTGCAAAGGGAAGTTTGCTAGAAGGATTCTGGGTTGAAGGAAGGGTTTAACACATAAACTGTGAAGGACTCTGGTATCACTGGGCCTTTCAGACTTTGGGAGCAAGAGAATCAGATGCTACCAGGGCTCTCCCCTCTGCTGCTCCCTGGTTATTAGTTTCGCTCTTTCACTATGGGCTGCTTTGCTGCACATGGGTAGGGAACATGGGCCTTAACGGCTTCTGAGGCTTAGAATGTTGTGGCTTCTACCATCTAAGAGGAATGGATGCCTTGTTTTAGTTTCAGTTAAGAAAAGAATCTTGGAGAAGGATTCTGACTGGCTTAGTTTGTGTCAAATATCCATCTCTGTGGCAGGGGAGCATAGTCCTATAAGAATATGGATGTTCCCCATATAGCCTTGTGGATGCTGGATAAGAAGTTACCAGGAAAATGGAGTGGTCTTGGGAAAACAGTGCTGTTTATGTCCCTATCATTAGGGTGACCATATGTATGATCAAGAAATCACTGGTCTTCTAGCAGCCAAAACGAATCAGCTCAGGGTCAGTTAGGCCACCCTGCTGCTTTAGAATGAAAAGGTAGATGGCATAGCAAGGTTTGGCTGACTAGAAGAATGTTTCACATTCAGAAAGAGGCCTCCCTTATTGGGCAGTATATTCCTACTGCAGTGCTCAGAGTATTAAAGAGGGCATTGCTCAGGTCCTGTGGGAGGACTTGTGCATTGGGCCAGATTAGTTCCTGTAGAAGTGTTTACTTCTTTCTCGGTATGTGCAAAACTCTACTTAAGTGTGGTTTTCTCCTTAAAAATCTCTTGTTCTAAGGTTCTATTATAATTTTTATTTTGTCACTTTTTATATTGGCAGATAATTTGGCTTCAGTTTGACTGTTTCAGTCCATTTCATTTTTAAAAAACTTTTATTTAATTATATATAAAACATGGTTGCCTTCTATTAGTATAGAGTATTAAATAAGACTGTGATCTGCAGTTTTGTAATGTGTAATCAGATCATTCTCTTTCAGAGTGACAGCATTTTTGCTTTAAATTCATCATAGCATTGTGTAAAAGTAAAAATGCCAAAAATTAAACATGAAATCAAAATGGAGTATATTCAAAGTATTTTCTTAATTTTTATATATTATAGGAGATGAGAATGAATATGGAAAATCTAGTTAGGAATGAAGATATTCTACATTCAGAGGTGAGAAGAAAAAGTCATTCTATGTTATGTGAAATGAATTGAGTATCCTAGAATGTAAAGCTTAATTTTGATGCATAAGTAGCTAAATTTTTAGCAAGTATATTATCAAAACTGATAGTCCATGTATATTTTCCGGTGATAACAAGTCACAAATAATGTGCTTTGAAGCAAAATCTCACAATAGGTAAAAATTGGACATTCAGTTTGTGTTTGGATTTTTAAAAACTAGGCTCTCTTGAGATATTGAAGCTATTTACCACATAATTACTTACAATTATTTTAAATTTCTGCAGGTATTTTTAAAAAAAGTTCTAGTATTTATTACCAGAATTGTAGCTTTGCATTCTAGGATACTCAATTCATTACCAGAATTCTCTTGTCATTAACAGAAATTGGTTAATTCCACTAATTAATAATGTTGAATTTTAATGTTATAAATCAGAAAATTTTTAATCAAAATTGAAAGAAAAGTAATGTATTAATTTTGAAATCATTTAAAAGTAAAAATCAATTTTTTGATTGTAGGAAGCAACACTAGACTCAGGCAAAACACTAGCTGAAATCAGCGATCGTTATGGAGCACCTAACTTGAGCAGAGTGGAAGAACTTGATGAACCAATGTTTTCTGATGTCAGTATCAGTGTGTTTTGTGAAAAAACTCGTTTTTGTTTTTGTTTTTGATTTTTTTTACTTAGGTAAAGCCTAGGGAAAATGAGGCTAGGCCAGGATTGGTTGGCAAATAGGCCTTTTGCTTCAGAGAAAGAAAATCAGTTCCCTGGTTGCGGATTATATTCCTAATTGGCATTCTGCCCTTTTGTGAAGTGTGTCACTGGCTTATCTATATCTCCGTATCTGTGACTTCAAAACCTCTTCAAAATATGTTTTAAAATCATTTTGTGAAATATATAATCTTTAAATTTGGTGTGGGGGGCACGATTTTTGTTCTCAGTAGCAAACCCTGGAACCAAATTAATGCCTTAATGAGAATGCATGCTTCTCCAGTATGTAAGTACATTTGTTTATTTAAGAAACATGCCACATCTTCCATATGCCAGGCACTGTGCCTGATGCTGTGGTGAATAAGGCAGATGGCTTTGACCTTATGGAGTTTATTGTCAGGGGAGAAACAGACAATTAGATGAACATTTAATAGTCATGGTTAGTGGGACCACATAATTTATTGTCCAAACCAGTATGCTTTTGAGAATGAGAGCCGGATCAGCAGATGTAAGCCAGGACTGTCCTGGAAGAAGGGTACATTTTGGTCACTTTAATTGGTGTACACGGACAAGGGGGGACAGCCAGCACAGTTGAGGAACCTCAGTCAGGGAAGGAAGCTAATGATTTGCTACTCACTGGTGGCATGGGAGGCTGAGGATAGTGCTCCAGGCAGAGAGCATGGAAGGTGTGAAGACCCAGATAGGAGAGCGTGTAGAGGGAGTGAGGCAGGGAGGGGTGAGAGCTGAGGCCAGGGAGAAAGCAGGGGCCAGACCATGAAAGCACTTGTCATTTCTGTTCAGAGGCTTAGATTTTATCCTGAAGGCAGTGGAGACTCATATGATGAGAGCTACATTTTGCAAAGACCATCTGGTAACAGTGTGGGGAAGAAAATGGAGAAGTAGGTGTCAGGAGATGGCTTAGGAGGTAGTAATCTAGGGGACAAGATGTCGATGGCCTGAAGTAAATGTTGTTTTCAAGAGCTGTTCAGAAAATGGAGCTGCACAGACTCAGTGCTAATTGTTTAAAGTTTTATTAAAGGTCAGCTATGATTTGGCACTATGCAGGGAGCTAGAAAATGCCAATGAACAAAATGGATTGGGCTTCTGCCCTTGGGGGCCGTGGGCCAATGGGGAAGCTTCTTTGAGGGACAGAGTAGGGAGAGACCTGACCTGGGCTGGACAAGTCTTCCTCAGGAGGTGAAGTTCAAGGAATTAGCCTGAGATGAGCCCAGAGGAAAGAGACAGCAAAATGCTTTCAAGGGACTGAAGTCATCCAGTATTAATGGCTAACGTCCATGGAGCTAGGAAAATGGTGTGATTTTAAGCTGGAGAGGTGGATAAAGGCAGAGCACACTGGGTCTTGTATGTTGCCTTAGGGATTTTGGACTTAAGTGCAGTAGGAGTTATTGAAAGGACTTAAAGATTCAATCTGTGTTTTTATAAGGTGGAGAGAGGATTGGTGTGGAGCAGGAGTGGAAAAAGGGAGACCACTTAGGAAGTTATTGCACTGATCCAGATGTAAGATGACTAGGGTTAGACAGCAGAGATGGAGGGAACTGAGTGGATTTAAGATTGGCTTACAGGATCAGTGCGGGGCAGGGTCAGGATGAAGCCTAAATGTCTTCCTTGGGCTACTGAGTTAAGAGTGTTAACATTTGATGAGTTGATGAACATAAGAGGAAGCAGGTTTTTAAAAAATGATGGCTTCAGTTGCAGAGATGTTGACTCTCAGGTGGCTCTGAGATATGCAGGTGAAAACAGCCAAGAACAGTTGATGTTAGGAAGGGGCCCAGGCCGGAGATATAAATTCAGCAGTCATGGGCATATGTGCTGAATGAAGCAAGGGGATTGAGTAAGGTACCTAGGAGAGAGTGCAGTGTGTGAAGGCCTGGGGGCTCAGGGAGGAACCATTAGCAATTCTAACATTGAAGGGATGGCCACAGGAAGAGGAGCCTACAAGAAGGATGAGAATGCATAGTAAGAGAAGTAGAAGAAAGGATGGAACAATAACTACTTTGAGAACATAATTTATGGTTATATTCAATTTGAGTATCATTTGAAATCATCTGAAACTCCCAAAAAGTTTCATTCATGTAGTCACATAGAAGTTACCTAAAGTTTATTTCTTTGGCTTGTGCCTTTTCACAGTTCTAATTGTATTAAGGAATATTTACTTTTTGTTTTGCTTTTAGATTGCATTAAACATTGATCAAGATTTGTAGGACCAACCAACCTAAGAGCAATAAATGTTTTTGTTTGTTTCAAATTTCAAACCATGAGGTTCCCAATTTGTATTTTTTTCCTTCAAACTTGAACTCCCCTTTTTTTTTCCTCTAAGGACTGCTTATGAATGGGCTTCAAGAGTAGCCTCAAATTATTATTTTGGATCCTTCAGTTCAACTGGTTATTTATACATTTCCATTGGGAAAATAGGAGAGTTTGCTGAAGCAACCAAAAGAGGCAAATGGGAGGTGAGCTGAACTAATATGTGCGTCTATGCAAGAGCAAGACTGCCTGAGAGGACAGTTGCTGGCTGGGTGCAGTGGCTCACACCTGTAATCCAGCGATTTGGGAGGCCAAGGCAGGTGGATCACTTGAGGTCAGGAGTTTGAGACCAGTGTGGCCAACATGGTGAAACCCCGTCTCTACTAAAAATACAAAAGAAAATTAGCCGGGCGTGGTGGTGGGCATCTGTAATCCCAGCTACTTAGGAGGCTGAGGCAGGAGAATCACTGGAACCCAGGAAGCAGAGGTTGCAGTGAGCCAAGATCATACCACTGCACTGCAGCCTGGGTGACAAGAGTGAGACTCCGTCTCAAGAAAAAAAAAAGAAAAAAAGAAAAGAAAGTTGCTGGTCCGTGAGAAGTGAGTGAGGTGGCCATTGTGTAGGGCTCAGGAGGGTGTGCAACATGCTCTAGATGTGGTGTCTCCTCCTGGGTGTGAACTGCAGAGCTCTCCCCAGTTTGCTGGGAGCTGATGCTTCATAGAACCACTTAAGCCACACTTATATGATGGTGTTTAAGGGGGAAGAAGTGTTTCATCACTGTCCTGGTGGGGGAGTTTCCTCCAGCTTAGCTTGTTCCTCCACAGCCAGGAACAGATATGAGGACTTTCCCTTCCTCACCTTTCTGCCCAGCTGGGCGTCCGGATTCCTGTCTTCCTCTTTGGGGTTTATAAAGTCTAGGGATATTGCAGGATGTGTTCACATAGAGTGAATTGAATGGGATGAAACAAAGTTCTGGGGTGCAAAGAAGTATCATGTCTTCTGGCTCAATCAGTGGGCTCAAATATTGGGGCAACTGTTGGTGAGAAGATCTGACTGAATACAGGCCACACACTCCTGGCCCCTTTGAAGTTTCAGTTCTATCCTTAGACTCTGCAGAGAACCTTACTTCCTTTACAAAATTCTTCCAAATCTGTGATGTGAGTCCTTTCTATTCTTAAGGACATAGGTGCGAAAACGCAAATACCAAGAGAGGCTCCTTTAAAAAAAAATTCTATTTTGGCTTATAATGTACTTTTCCTGAGGCAATGAGTACAGAGTGGTCCTTTTGCCTAAATGGTGCTATCGTTTGAACGTGTCCCCCTCCCTTCCCAAATACAACTGTGTTGAGAGGTAAGACCTTTAAGAGGTGATTAGGTCATGAGGGCTCTGCCCTCATACATGGATGAATGCCATTGTCACAGAAGTGGGTTAGTTATGGTAAGAGTGGGCTTGTTATAAAAGTGAGTTCGGCCCCCTCTTGCTCTCTTGCACTTTCTTGTCCTTCCACCTTCAGCCATGGGATGACACAGCAAGAGGGCCCTCACCAGCTGCAGGCCCCTTGACCTGGACCTCCCAACCTCCAAAACTGTAAGAAATACATGTATTTTCTTTATTACCATTCTGTAATATTCTGTTATAGAAATACAAAATGGACTAAGACAAATAGGAAGAGATAAAAAGATAAATTATAGTTTCATTAAAAATGTTTAATTAAGAATGTTATCCTGTCATACCAGTTCTGTACATTTTTGAGGAAAAAACTTCCAGGTACCCTGGAGCGATATATGATTTCTGTGTGAATTCAATTTCCAGGCACTGTGTCCCCAGCATGGATGACCTGCATTCACATCTACCCAGGCAAGAGTGTCCAAGGGAGACAAGGAGCAGAGTGTACTTCCAGACCCTGACTCAGCCCAAAGGGCACCATCATAGAGGCCTGTGGGTAAAAGACAGGCTCAGAGAACTTTGGGCTCAGCATAGCCTGTGGCAGTTTCCAGAGGGTGTGGCTTGGAGGCAGATTTGGCAGCAAAAGTCCCTCTGTGTCAGCTAGTCACAGCATGAAACACTGTGGTTCTGGAAGGGTATAGTCTTATTAAGTACCCTTAGCCAGAGCTAGGCACAAGAGAGAGGAGGAAGTAAGAGAGGCTCCTGTCCTTGCAGGGAGATGACTCTCAAATAAAGCTGCTACCCTGAGCTGTATCTCAGAGTCTTAGAGGGTCTTGCTGATAGCAGCGGTACTCATTTTAGACTCACCCAGTGGTAGGGATGGAAATGGTTCCTATTTTGACAAGCTTTCTGTTGCTGGATGACATCCTAGGCTCAATTGACCTACTCTAGATTTTACTGATGAACTGGTCTTGAGGAAGGCAAAGATTCCAGAAGAAGGAATGGATAAAAGCATGGGAGATATCAAGCTTCTTAACATAGGTAATTAAGTTTTCTCCTCATGCAAAATGAGACCATTTAAATACATGTGCACCAAACACACATTTTCCTTGAATCTTTTTTAAAATTAATTTTTAATTTTTGTGGGTACAAAGTAGGTGTATGTATTTGTGGGTTACATGAGATGTTTTGATACAGGTATGCAATGCATAATAATCACATCAAGGTAAATGGGATATTCATCACCTCAAGCATTTATCCTTTGTGTTACAAACAATCCAGTTATACTCTTTTAGTTCTTTTAAAATGTATAATTAAATTATTTTTTACTCTACTCACCCTGTTGTGCTATCAAATACTAGGTCTTATTCATTCTTTCTATTTTTTTGTACCCATTAACCATCCCTAGTTTCCCACCCCCCACTATCCCTCCCAGCCTCCAGTAACCATCCATCCTCCTACTCTGTAGTTCCATACGTTTGTTTTCATTTTTAATTCCCACAAATAAGTAAGAACATGTGAACTTTTGTTTTTCTGTGTCTAGCTTATTTCACTTAACATAGTGACCTCAGTTCCATCCATGTTGTTGTAAATGACAGAATCTTATTCTTTTTATGGCTGAATAGTACTCCATTGTGTATATGTACCACATTTTCTTCATCCATTCATCTGTTGATGGACCTTTAGGTTGCTTCCAAATCTTGGCTATTGTGAATAGTGCTCCAATAAACATGGGAGTGCAGATATCTCTTCAACATACTGATTTCTTTCCTTTTAGGTATATACATAAGGAGTGCGATTGCTGGATTGTATGGTAGCTCTCTTTTTAGTTTTTTTAGGAACATCCAGACTGTTCTCCATAGTGGTTGTACTAATTTACATTCCCACCAAAGGGAATGTAATATGGGGGGTTCCCTTTTCTTCACACTCTCGGTAGCATTTGTTATTGCCTGTCTTTTGGACAAAAGCCATTTTAATTAGGTTGAGATATCTCATTATAGTTTTGATTTGCATTTCTCTGATGATCAATAATGTTGAACACCTTTTTATATACTTGTTTGCCATTTGTATATCTTCTCTTGAGAAATGACTATTCAGATCTTTGTCCATTTTTTAACTGAATAATTAGTTCTCCTCTAAAGTTGTTTGGGGTCTTTATATATTGTGCTTATTAATCCTTTGTCAAATGGGCAGTTTGAAATATTTTCTCCCATTCTGTGTGTTGTCTCTTCACCTTGTTAATTGTTTCCTTTGCTGTGCAGAAGCTTTTTAACTTGATTTGATCCCATTTGTCCATTTTTGTTTTGGTGCCTGTGCTTGTGGGGTATTGCTCAAGAAATCTTTGCCCACTCCAATGTCCTAGAGAGTTTCCCCAATGTTTTCTTTTAGTTGTTTTGTAGTTTGAGGCTTTAGATTTAAGCCTTTAATCCATTTTGATTTGGTTTTTGTATATGGCAAGAAATAGGGGACTAGTTTAATTCTTCTACATATGGATATCCAGTTTCTCCAGCACCATTTATTGAAGAGAATGTTTGTATGATCTTGGCACCTTTGTCAAAAGTGAATTCACTGTAGATATATGGATTTATTTATGGGTTCTCTATTTTGTTTCACTGGTCTATGTGTCTGCTTTTATGCCAGTACCATGCCATTTTGGTTACTATAGCTCTGTAGTATAATTTGAAACCAGGTAATGTAATTCCTCCACATTTTATTTTTGCTGGGTCTTTTGTGATTCCATATAAATTTTAAGATTGTTTTTCTATTTCTGTGAAGAATGTCCTTGGTATTTTGATAGGTGTTGCATTGAATCTATAGATTGCTTTGGGTAGTATGGAGATTTTAACAATATTGATTTTTTCAATCCATGAAATTGGAATAGTTTTCCATTTTTTCGTGTCCTCTTCAATTTCTTGCATCAATGTTTTACAGTTTTCATTGTAGAGATCTTCTACTTCTTTGGTTAATTCCTAGGTATTTTATTTGTAGCTATTGTAAATGGCATTACTTTCTTGATTACTTTTTCAGTTTGTTCACTGTTGGCATATAGAAATGCTACTGATTTTTGTATGCTGATTTTGTATTCTGCAAGTCTACCGAATTTATGAGTTCTAATAGTTTTTTTTTGTCGTCTTTAAGTTTTTCCAAATATAAGATTACATTTTCCCATTCAATTTTGAAGAATAGTTTTACTGGGTATAGCATTATTGATTGTCATTTTTTTCACCACCTTGAATATGTCATCCCACTGCCTTCTGTCCTCCAAGGTTTTTGATAAGGAATTAGCTATTAATTTTATTGAAGATCCCTTGTATGTGATGAGCCACTTTTCTCTTGCTGCTCTGAAAATTCACTCTTTTTGTTCTTATCTTTTGACAGACTAATTATGATTTGTCTCATTGTACATCTCTTTGGGTTTATCCTGCTTGGAGTTAATTAAACTTCTTAGATGTGTAGATTAGTATTTTTCATCAGATTTAGGATATTTAGTTTTCTCAATATTCTTTTTGCTCCTTTCTTTCTCCTACAACTTTGTTATGCATATGTTGGTACACTTGGTGTCCCACTGGTCTCTGATACATTCTTCTGCCAGCTCACATCTGCTGTTGAGTCTCTCTTGTAAAATTTTCATTCCAGCTGTTGTACTTTTCAGTTCTAGATTGTCTACTTGTTTCCTTTTTAGGATTTATATCTATTAACTTTTTTAAGGAAAACATCATTCATATACTTTCCTTTACTTCTTTAGACATGGTTTCACATTTTTTGCATGTGAGATCTATGGAGATGTGAAGGATTCTGGCAAAACAGAGGAGTAGAGAGGCTGTTAGGAGCCAGATCATGAAGGATCTGGACACCAGCTTCAAAGGTTTGGACTTGAGTTAAGGCATGTTGGGTGGCACTGAAGGCTTTTGATCACGGGATCAAATTGATTTTGTAGGAAGACCCAATCTCAGGAAGTGAATAGATGGGTCAAAGACTTAGAAATAGGTTAAAGAGTCTTTTTGTTTTGTTTTGTTTTGTTTTGTTTTTTGCCTGAAAAAGGACTTTTGAAGTGGCAGTGCAAATGGAAAGCAACGGTCAAATGCCATGGTCTTATAAAGGATGGATAGTCAGGATTTGGTGACTCAATGAGGAGGCCAAGGTAAGCAATCACTGCTGATGTTTAGGCTTGGAAACATGGTGACTTCAAGAAGAGCAATTTGAGAAGAGCTAGAAGAACAAAGACATATTGAGTAAACAAAAAATGTTTGGAGTGGTTGCTCCATACCAGACACTGTGCTTGTCATGGTGAACAAGACAGACATAGTTCCTAAACATATGGCACATATAGTCCAAAGGAAGCAAGTGAACAAAGTAAATTGCAATGGGGCAGTGAGGGAAATTAAGCAGTGTGCTGAGACAGAGAGCAGTCAGAAGGACTCATTTTAGATTAAGGATGTCAGTAAAAAATGGGAAGTGGCCATATTTGGGACTAAAGCTTCAGTTGTAGACTTACTATTTGATAAAGCAGGCTGATATATGTGTAAAATTATTTCATAGACTGTTGGAAAGGCAGAATGAAACCCAGGAGAAAAGTTGAGAATGGATGCAAAGGTTTGGGAGTTACTGGCAGGGATCTCTGAGGGAGGTTATGTCCATTTGAATTGGGGGTGGGGTGAGGCAGCAACAGGATAAAGAGTAGTTAGTGGGACCAGAGAAGGCTCAAATGGATGGACAGAGGCAGAAGCTCATCCTCACCATCCAGGGTGAGTTTCCAGGAGAATGGCAAATGTTGTGGAGGGAAGGAGATGGGAGTGATGTGTAGAAGGACCTGTAATGGCCTTTGAGGATTTTTCCCTGTTTTTATTAAGGATATGGGGGTGAAATTCAGCTCTGGTGGTTAAGGGTGTGAATTTTGGTAGACAGGAAAGGGGCTGGTGAAGCCAGTCTTTGGAGAAGTTTGGTGATGAAGAGAGAGTGACTTGAAGATGTAACAGGGCTGGGGAAGGATTCTCCTTGTAGGGAGAAATGAAGTTTCATTTGTGTTTTGGCAATAGGAAAGTGGCAAGTTGACTGAAGGTGTAGCTCAAAGCATTAGAGCAGGGTTCCAGAAGAATTGGGGGTGGGACAAATCAGAGGAAGACAAGTACTTCATAAATCACCTTTTCCTCCACTCCAGGAGGGGAAAATATAGAGACAGACATTTTGAGGTATGGAGGATGAATACTTGGAAGGAGTTAGGGGTACACTGCAGAATTTGCATTATATACCTCTGAGCCACTTGGTAAAGAAGGAAAGAAAGGCAGAGGTTGGTCAAGTACTTGAGTGAGGATGAATTTTACAATGTCTTCTGGGGCAATGGATGAATAAAGTGATTGATGGACAACTCTGTGAACCCACTTGAAGTTTATCCATTAAAAAATGTATGAATGCCTGCTCTGCCTCAACTTCCTCATTTGTATACTAAGTAAAGTAATAGTGCTGACCTCTTTAGGGTTGTGAGAAGGATTAAATGAGTTAATTCATGGAAAGCTTTTACAACAGTGCCTGGCACTTAGTAAGCACTCAACAAGTAGTTACTACTGCTATTACATGCTAGGTGCTGTGTGAGGTAAATAGAGATCTCATCAGAGTTATTATATTCTCCAGTAGCTCATAACAAACACAGAGGTAGAACAGAGTCAGTGGGTAATGGAGGTGCCCTGGAACTGAGGATTGGGAGACTGTCGCGGGACCATAGGGGTTTAGAGTCAGGTAGGAGCAGCCCTGGAGTGCGTGGCTCCCATGCTTACTCTCAGGTAGGTGTCAGTACTGTGGCTGGAGGGAAGGAGGTGGTGACCTTGTTCAAAGCAGGTTCCTGGCCAGGAACTGAGCAGTGGTGGGAGAAGGGGGAGGTCAAGGTAGCAGAGGAGACAGTGAGGGGTACAGCTCATGGGAAAGGATTTTGCAAGGATCTGGTCCAGCCAAGTGGTTGAGGAAGGACTATGGCCCCACCAGGAAGCTTGCCTGTAAATTAGAACCAGGGTTGATGCTCATTGTCTAGCTTAGACACATACTGTGAGGACTGGGGCAAGACAGGCGGGGACTGTGTCTCGGTGGGAAGGGGTCAGGCATGAAGTTGGTGAAGAAGAGAGAATAGAGACTAGCATGGAGTACTTACTAATGCCAACAGCTCCCCTGGGAGTTTATAGAGTTGGTATGAGCTTGTGTTTGAAAGTATAGGGAAATGAAGTCTCAAAGAGTAGCATTCAGCATTGTACCAGTAAGTGTTGAAACTGGTCCTGTCACCCAGTTATGTTAGAAATATAACTACTGAATACATTTGCAGATTCCAACAGCATTAAAAAGTGCCTATCTCTAAAACAGAGTTTATTTCACTTTTCCTAGAAGTTTTTTATCCTCTTCACTTTTTTTTTTTTTTTTTAAGAGATGGGGTCTTACCATGTTGCCCAGGCTGGTCTTGAACTCCTGGGCTCCAGCCGTCCTCCTGAAGTTCTGGGATTACAAATATGATCCATGATACCTGGCCTCCTCTTCACTTCTTTAGTATAATAAAGTGGCTTCACTGTTGTCCAAATGCTCCAATTTATAGTGTGGGAGTCATTCTTAACTCTTCTGTGGTTGCCATGCTTCTAGACCAATACAGTGAGCCTAATACTCACTCCTCTTTCTCTCATGTTCTGAAGCCGCAAGTGATTGGTTTCTTAACTAGTCATTTTCCTGCTGTCACTGTCTTCAGCTCCTTGTCAAAATATAAAAGATCAGCTTAATACATTATTTAGAATCATGTGGGGCCTTCACAGCTACTTTCCACATGAAATGCTTTAAAAGGGGTTATACCGATTGCAATCAATGGCCATCCACTCTTTACCTAGTTTTTCTCATTTCGACACATCTCTTTTAGTTGTCCCCCTTCTGAGCACTTAGCTAGATTCTGAGTGCATAAACTGGTGTGAGAGGTGGTCCCCTACCACTGAGGTGCACGCATCCTGATGGTGAGCAAGGGCATAGGAAAGAAGATGAATAATGATGCAAGGTTCAACAGACCCCTTTGGTAGCTACTGTGATTAACTCTACATAGAGAGAAGTCACATCGAGCTTCATGGAAGTAAGAGGCTAAACCCAACAAAACCCAGCAAAACACAAAGGCACATAACTGATCGTGGGTGGGCAGGAGGAAAAATGTGAGCAGAGAAATAAATAATGCTGGGAATGCCTGTAGGATGCTTGAAGGTTAACTGATTTGTACAGGGATGTCGTGAGGGAGAAGTTCATAAAGTCGATCTGGACTAGTTTTTGAAGCCTATTAAATAGCAGGCTAAGATATTTAGATGGCATCTGCTGACAATGGGAATAGAGATGGGAATTATACAGTGAAAATCCCTTTGGGGAGTGGTGGATGAGAAAGTGGTGTTATGTTACAGAGATGTTTTAAGATGCTTCATTGGTGGTACTTAGGATTTTTTAGGATAAGGTTGCTGTTAAGATAGTCTAGGCTTAAGGTAATGAAGGTGGTACCTAGGTTGTAGCAGTGGAAATTAATTTAGTGAACACTTACAGTGTGCCTACTATGTATCAAGCATTGTACTGGGTTCTCATGGGAAGCATATACGCAAAACATGGTCTCTGCTCGCACATCATTCACAATTTGTAGGACCTCTACAGGAAACAAGTGATGGGTGTGACGCTTTTCATAGGTGGGCTTGGGAGTTGATCGAATGGGGGTGGAGGACAAGGAAGGACAAGGAAGAACCTGAATCTTGAACAATGGTGGGTCCTTGAGCGCTCAGGTCAGGCAGAGGTGCCGGTCTGGCTTCGAGGGACACTTGCCTGGCTGGTGTCTAACATGGTGTAAAGGAGACACTAAGAACTTCCTTCATGGCTCTCTCACTGAGCCAGGGAGGGGGATGGCAGGGGTGCCACCTGTTTTGGGGACACTAGAATTAACATAATTGACACATATTTCAGGAAGCCATCAGCTGAGCCACAGAAATAACGTATACAAGATAATAATAACCTTGCTCAGGAATAGGGCCGGGCGCAGTGGCTCACACCTGTAATCCCAGCACTTTGGGAGGCCGAGGCAGGCGGATCACGAGGTCAGGAGATCAAGACTATCCTGGCTAACATGGTGAAACCCCGTCTCTACTAAAAATACAAAAAATTAGCTGGGCATGGTGGCGGGCACCTGTAGTCCCAGCTACTCGGGAGGCTGAGGCAGGAGAATGGTGTGAACCCAGAAGGCGGAGCTTGCAGTGAGCCGAGATTGCGCCACTGCACTCCAGCCTGGGTGACAGAGCAAGACTCCGTGTCAAAAAAAAAAAAAAAAAAAAAAAATATATATATATATATATATATATATATATATATTCAGGAATAGAACACTGAAAACAGCAAATAAATGTACAAGCTTTTGAAAATTGAATTAATTTTTGTGAAAGTCAAATTAAACCAACTGTTCTGAGATCAATACTACATTGAATCAAGCTTATTTATAATTGTATATTAAATTGTAACTATGTTACCACTAGATGTCACAAAGATTCAATTTTAAAAGCCTTTTGAGGTAGTCATTTTGAAATATATTTTTCTTAAACAGAAATAAGCCTTTCTAGTATTTGCAAATATAAGGAATAACTTTTAAATTTTTAAATTGTAAAATAGTCCAAATATGCAGAAGAGTACACAGAATAATATAAGCAATGTCTTTTATCCCAATCCAGAATTAACAAATATTACCATTTTACCATATATTGGCGGCTTTTTTAAAAAACAAAATCTTACAGTTGATGTTTTTGTACCCCTCCTTCATGCCATTCCTCTTATTTCTTGCCCACATATAACCATTATCTTAAAATCAGTGGATGTAATTCCCACTTATACATATTTGATGTCTTAATACAAATGTATATTTATCCATAAATAAGACAGTTTTTTGGGTGAGATTTTAACTTAATGCTTTTTTCACTCAGCATTATATTTTCAAGATTTATTCCTGCTGATACATTTATATCTACTTCATTTATTTTAACTGCTGTGTAACATAACCATTGCACCAGTTCTTCTATTGGTGGGTGTTTGGAGTGTTTTAAATGCTTTACTTTTATACATATACCTATGTATGTATCTCTGTGTATTTGAGGGAATCCCATTGTTTGCACATTTTCTCTTGACTCGCAAGTGACACTGTACTAGTAAAGAAGGTCTGTCAGACTCTCCTCCTTAAAAAATGTATCAAGGACCACATTCCTAGTACCCTTCTGACACAATCTCCTGTTGGAAGATGGGAGAACTAATGTGTGAAGTTTCTCTCTTGGTTCTGAAACTTGAGCATGTACCTAAATCTGCTGGAGGGCTTCTTAAAAGGCACTCCCAGGTAAGTCTTTAAGTCTGGGATAGGCTGGAGAATTTGCATTTCTAACAAGCACCCAGATGCTGCTGCTACTGCTGGTCAGCAATCTCACTTAAGAAAATGCTACTCTTGGCTGGGTATACAAGGCACACTTGTGCGATTCCCGGGGCTCAGGTTGTGGCCATTCTCAAGCTACTAGATATTGCTAGATTGTGTTCCAAAGTGGTCATGTTCGTTTACACTCCTACCCGGAGGACAGAGTTCCTGTTATGTCAAATCCTTTCAGATACTTGGTAATCTTACACGTCAACATTTTTTACCCATGGCGGGAGTGCAATGTGGTAGCTTTTTTGTTGTTTAATTAGCATTTCTCTGATTATTAGTGAGGTTACATATCTTTTTATGTTTATTGGACAATGGATTTGCTCTTCTGGGAATTGCATGTTCATATTATTTGCTAATACTTGCTATTGATTTGTTTATCTGACTGAATTTCTTTGCTGGTTATATGTGTTGGGAAATCTCTCAGGTCGTTGGTTGCCTTTTAACTTGGTTTATGGTCTTTATTGTTTGGCAAAAGTAAGGTTTATTTACATGTCTCTTTTTTAATATTTTGTGCTTTTTGATCTTTTGTTTAATAAAGTAATGAACCATTATTAGTTCTGAAAAACTTATGTAGTTTAAGGATTATCTTTAAAAATTATTTCATGTATTTTCGTTTAGATTTTTCAATTAAATTGTCTTCAAGTACAGTCAATAATCAAATTGACAATTTCAAAATCAGGGAAAGCACTCTCTTACCAGTTTTAATGAATAATAAGCATTCTAGCTCATTGCATGTACATTGGTGATATTGCTGAAATGAAATTTTAAGTGCTAAAAACGAGCCTGTCACAGTTTAAACATCTCAACTTACCTACACCCTTGCCATTATTTTTGTTTCTTCAATTTGGGGATTAAACTCTTCAAGGAGAAAGGGAAGCAGCTTTTGAATCAGAGGACTCTAAAGTATAAGTTAGTAGAGGAGAATTTTCCAGGTGGGGGGTGTGCAGTGAGTGACTTCCAGTGTAGCTAAGGCTGATGGTGGTTGGCAGATGGGATTTTATGACTCACAGGAAATGCTTATATGCCCCAGAGTGTCTCCCATGTGGCCGCACTGGCTGGAGGGACACCAACTAGATATTTATTTGTGTCAGTACTATTTTGAAATTTAGTTACCTCTGATGTTATGGTTCATTCATTAAAGAAAGAAAACACCTACTATGTGCCAGTCCTGGTACACAAGATACTTTATTTCAACTTCTTATATAGGATAGATAACAGCTTAAATTTTTACAGGCAGAAATGGAATTTCAGAGAGTTATTTAAGCTTCTGAGATTCTCACAGCTGATCGTTGAGCGAATGGAGATACAAACCCAAATTTTTTTGACTTTAAAACTTTCTCATCATTTCTTAGTAACATTCCATCAGAACCCACTGTGTTCGTAGGCACTTAGCTATTCATACTTTAGTGTAAAGTAGCCAAGCTATTTTACTAAACCATAAAACCAAGCTGGATTGGATATACTAGGGGAATGGATGAGCAGGTGGGCTGGTGCTGAAGGGTTTGAATGTGGCCATAATACCTTCTGAGAGCCTAAAGAACCAGTAGCCAAGGATGGATGGTGTGACAGAGAGGATGGATTTCAGTTGCTCTGTCCTTTTTTATAGGGTATTGCTTCTCATATTGTAATTTCTTATAAATTCCTGGAGCTTTTTCTTAAACTGTAGATTCTAATTTCCAAGCCTAAGGTGGGGCCCCAGAGCCTGCATTCCTAACAAGCTCCCAGGTGATGCTGAGGCTGCTAGTCAAGGAACCACACTGAATAACAAGGGCCTGGGGTATACTCAGAAGAGGAGAGGAGAGGAAACGTGTTTGATCGGCCCTGGGGTTGCTGGAGGAGGTTAGGGCAGAGCAGCAGTTCTAAGGAAGGTAGTAGAGGGCTGCTTTGCGTGGGGAGGTGGGTGGTGGCACAATGCCTCTGGCCCATGCTGCAGGTTCTGAGCCTTTATGATGTCTGATGATTCACTGCACTCAGTACTTCAGTACAAGTGATTCTTGTGAGAGCAGATAATACTGAGCAGTGGAATTAGAGATGTGTGTTTGCTTCATTGTTCAAGGATTCTTTGGGTATAGCTTTGGAACAGTCAGTGTTAAGCTTTCTGCAAATGAGGGTGTAAAAGGCTTTTTTCTAAGCTATGGCGCAGAAGGCATTAGAGTAGCTGGCAGCAGATAAATAAGCAGCCACAATTTGTAGGTAATTACTTATCTTGAATTGGTAAAAATTAAAATAACTTTAGTAGGCAGTTCAGCGTAGGAAAAGGGGACTACTTGGAGTCAGAAGGGCTGAGTTTAGGTGTTGTGCCACTTACCAGTTGTACAAGCCAAAATAAATCACCTAATCTCTTTGGGCCTCAGCTTCCTCCTCTGTTAAATGAGGTCAGCACTCCCCACATCAGAGTCATTGTGACACTCAAATGAGCTGACACCTGTAAGAATGCTTTGTAAACTGCAAGACTCTCCCAGAAAACTGGTCTCAGGGAAAGAGTAGGGATGGAGAGGCTGCCTTCCACATAAAGGTTTTTAAAATCTGCTGTCAAATCCCCAGATGAAATAATTAGGTAGACATTTGAGAACATGAAACACTTGTGACCAAATCGTATGTATTTTCAGAATGAAAGCTTGTGTGAGAGGATCAGTTTGGCCTAAGTTATCTAAGTAATAGTTTCTCCTTTCACTTAAAATACTCAGACTCAAAGTGTACTAATCATTTATATAAAAATATTTTTTAGAGCAAATAAGGGAAAGACAAAAATATCAAGAGAAAACTAAAGCCAGAGTACTTCATGGCTGAATTTTCTTTCTCCACAATTTTCCCCTCAAATGCTCTAACTCCCTATTTCATTGTTTGGGATAGGAATTTGTATAGTGAAGACATTGTATTCTGGGAAAAAGGTGACTTGCTTGTGTCTCTCCCATAGCCTTTGGCTATATTGTGCAACCTTCAGTCAATTGTTTAACCCCACGAGGAAAGTGTGGACTGAGAGCCTGTAAATATCCCAGATTTACCACCCAAGGTGTTGAGTTTAGGGTGAGTTGACTTAGAGCGAAGGAGGTGATATTTTAAATTTCTACACATTTAAACATTTCAGATGACACAATCTTCAGTTTTTAAAAATAAAAGGGATTTACACTGACTGGCTATGGCCATTTTGTTTTTATTTCAAAATGGAAGCTTTGTGTGTACACGTAGGTGTTTCGGGATGCTGACAGATGTCAAATAGAAATTTAAGTACATTATAGCAGTGTTCTATGTAAAGAGCTTTTAGGATTGAGACAGGGTGATAGCTAATTCTCTGAAATGTAGAAACCATGTATATCATATTTAATACATTAATACATTGATGGTTATGAATTGATTCATGGATTTGGCTCAATATATTTTTTCTTTTTTTTTTCTTATTTTTGAGATGGAGTCTCACTCTGTTGCCCATGCTGGAGTGCAGTAGCATGATCTTGGCTCACTGCAACCTCCGCCTGCTGGGTTCAAGCAGCCCGGAGTAGCTGGGACTACAGGAGCACACCACCATGCTGAGCTAAGTTTTGTATTTTTAATAGAGATGGGGTTTCACCATATTGGTCATGCTGGTCTCAAACTCCTGACCTCAGGTGATCCATCCACCTCGACCTCCCGAAGTGTTGGGATTACAGGTGTGAGCCACGGCGCCCAGCCTGTTTTCTGCTTTAAAAATATTAAAAGTTATTCTCCAGCAGAGCTATGATTGGCTGGGCAGAGAATTCTGGAGAGGCACGCATAATTCATAGACTCTATCTATCAACAATTATGCTTGTATAATCCTCTTTCTTCCCCTCTCCAAGGTTACCCTTGATTGGGAGATGAACTGGCCAATAACACTCTGCTCTTCTATTCCACCCATTCCTGCTTTTTCCTCTGAAATTACTGGCTAATTCTAAACACACCCATGCTGGTTCCATTTTTACTTCAGCTGGATATTTATCTTGGTGAGTGTGTTTGCTTATGTAAAATGAGGACTGTTTACTTAATGATACCAACAACCTTCGGAATATTGCTTTTTAATATAGAATCATATGTTCTTAAAATTCCTTGTAGCCGGGAGCGGTGGCTCACGCCTGTAATCCCAGCACCTTGGGAGGCTGAGGCGGGAGGATCACGAGGTCAGAAGATCGAGACCATCCTGGCTAACACAGTGAAACCCCGTCTCTACTAAAAATACAAAAAAATTAGCTGGGCGTGGTGGCGGGTGCCTGTAGTCCCAGCTACTCGGGAGGCTGAGACAGGAGAATGGCCTGAACCTGGGAGGCGGAGCTTGCAGTGAGCTGAGATCACGCCACTGCACTCCAGCCTGGGCAACAAAGCGAGACTCCATCTCAAAAAAAAAAAAAAAAAAATTCCCTGTAGAAGTTGCTCTATTTATCAGAGTTTGGGATTATTTTTATATTTTATATCTATAAAAGAATGTTTACTTGAAATTTTTTGTAGATTATTACCTGTTGAGCAAGTTGTTGCCTCGGAAGAAGGCTGGGGAAATGCACATAGAAGGGAATACCAGTATTTGCATGTTAGGGACCTAGACTAGGTCACTGAGAGCACCCAAGTCCCTCTGGAGCATCAACATTTGCCTCTGGCAATGCCTGATGCATGCTGGGAACACACAATGTTTGTGTTTATTGTCTTTGTTACTCTACTACTCATCCTGCATATTTACCCAGGTCAGAAGTCATTCCTGAATCCTCCCACTCCTTTGCTTCCTACATCCAGTGATGTATCCAATTCTACTCCTCCTACTTTCTGACTCTGCCATGTAATCAATCTCCCTGCCTCTGGGACAGCCCTGTCTAGTCCAGTCTCCACACAATAGCAGCTAGCAGAGTGGTTTCTGTACAAGTCCCTATCTGACTATATGCCCCATCCAGGCACATCTTTTGCTTGAAACTCTTTATTGGCTTTTCTTTGTCCTCAGGATAAAGTGTAAACTTGGAGGACCCACAGAACTGTTCATGATCTGCCCTCTGCCACCATCTCAGTATCCTCCCCTTCTGTTTGTCAACCCACACTCTGTGCCCCAGCCTCACTGAACCACTTGAAATGTCATGAAGGTTTTATGCACTGTCTACCTCCTGAATCTTAGTCCATGTTGTTCCTGTTGCCTGCAATATTGTTTCCCAATCCACCTGGCACACATGTGGTTGGCCTACCCTAGTGTGGCATATAGTACGTGTTTAATTTGTATTCTAGGAATGAATGAGTGGAATGTAGAAATGGGAGGATGGGAAGGTTCATGGACCCCTTTGCAGCTGGAGTGGAGCCTGTCCTGGTACCGCTGCCCATCTACCTGTCCTGCCTGCACAACCACTATTCATGCAGCACTCCAGCAGGGCATGATGCTTCCTCTCCACATTTTGTCCCCCAGCACAGACCTGGCATGCAGAGAGTCAACAGCCAATCTGGCCCTCTGATATTGACTCTAGACTCAGTAATTGTCCCTGTTAGGGTTGGGAGGCTGGGCTGCCTCCTAGAGATTTCATTATTTGGTTCAAGAACTGCCTTTTGCTCCTCTTTGAAAATCCTGCTCCTTGATTTTCAATTGTCAGATTGCGTGATATTCAACCCAGACCTTTAATGTCTTGAGTCTTTTATAATGAAGATTCAAGAAAATAATTTTTAATTTTGAAAATAGTGACTTATTCCTTCTATGACTTAACAATCACTTAGCGTTCTTTGTTTCTTTTCCACTGGACTTAAGCACCTTGATAGCAGGAACCATGTTTGGTTTTATTTGCTGTTTGTATCTCTAGAGACTAGAGCAGTATCTGGGACATAGCAGCTGTTTAAGTAAATAATTAAAATCAATGAGTAAATGAATGCAAGGGTGAATGAGCCAAGATAAATATTTAATTTTAAAAATTCAGGACAATTTTAGATTTATAGAATTATTGCAAAGATAGTATAGAGAGTTGCTGTATAACCTAAACCCAACTTATCCTATTAACATTTTATATTAGTATGATACATTTGTCACAATTAATGAAGCACAATATTCATATATTATTATTGTCTAAAGTTAATACTTTATTCAGATTTCATCAGTTTTCCCCTAATGTCTTTTTTTCTGTTCCAGGATCCTACATTGAGAAGTTATGTCCCTTCAGGCTCCTCTTGGTTGTGACAATGTTTCAGATTTTTCTTGTTTTGATGAGTGTGATAGTTCTGGGAAGTATTAGTCAGGTATTTTAAAGAATGTTTTTCAGTTGGGATTTGCCTGATTATTTCATCATGATTAAAGTGAGGTGATGTGTTTTTGGGAGGAAGGACACAAAAGTAAACTGCTGTTTTCATCACATAATATCAACAGTACAAACTATCATCAGGATGACTTATCACTGTTGATGTTGGTCACCTTGGTCACTTGGCTGAGGTAGTGTTTTGTCAGTTTTCTACTGTGTTAAGTTACTTTTTTTCCTCCTTTCCCATGCTGTGCTTTTTGAAAGAAAGTTACTATGTGCAGCATAGACTTAAGGAGTGGGAGTTATATTCTACTTTTTTTTTTTTTTTTTGAGACTGAGTTTTGCTTTTGTCACCCAGGCTGGAGTGCAATGGTGCAATCTGGGCTCAATGCAACCTCCGCCTCCCAGGTTCAAGTGATTCTCCTGCCTCAGCCTCCCAAGTAGCTGGAATGAAGCACAATATTCATATATTATTATTGTCTAAAGTTAATACTTTATTTAGATTTCATCAGTTTTCCCCTAATGTCTTTTTTTCTGTTCCACCACAAATCCTGACTAATTTTTGTATTTTTAGTAGAGACAGGGTTTCACCATATTGACCAGGCTGGTCTTGAACCCCTGACCTTAGGTGATCCACCCACCTTGGCCTCCCAAAGTATTGGGATTACAGGCGTGAGCCACCGCACCCACCTATACTCTATTAAGGGTGAAATATCAAAATAAATAACCTGAAATTCTTCTGCATGGGAGATTGGTCTATTCGTCCAGATTTATTTATGTATTAAATAACTTCTTTATATCAGGATGGATATATCGAGTTTCATTTTATATTTCAGGTTATAAATTCTACTTTATTACTCAAATTATTTCAGCTTTGGTCACTGGGAGCTCTTTTAGCTGGTTCCTATATCCCTTTGATATACCCACATCTTTTTCTTTTTTTTTTAGTTTTTCCTTGCTTTCTTATACTATGAAGATTCTACAGGTTCATCTTGTATATTTTCTACCCCAGTGCTAAGATCAGCTATTTTTCCAAGAATTTCTTCTTTAATTGGAGAATGATTATAGAAGCCAAGATCTGGTTGCTAGTTGCTACTGAGGTCTGCTGCTTTATTTAAGCCTTCTCAGCTGATTTATGTGTCTATACTAACCCATGTGTATATAAATCTATAAATATTTCTCTATGAATCTGTATCTATTTAAGCTAAGCATGAATTCATACTGATGTCTCTCTGAACATTTAATTTTAAAAGTTATATTGAAAACAGCAGACATAAATCCAGCCATATCAATAATTGCATTAAATGTAAATGAGATAAAACACTTCAGCAGAGTTCATCAGACTGGATAAGAAACCAAAATGTAACTATACATTGTCTACAAGAGACATGGAAAAGTGATATCATGTAAATAAAGACAAAAATATTAAAATCAAAGAGTAACATAATAAAAGTCATCAGGAAGACATATAACAATTATAAACATGTATGTGCTTAACAGAGTCCTAAAATGGATAAAGCAAAAATGATCAAATTGAAAGGAGGAATATGCAATTCAACAATGGTTGGGAGACTCTAATACCTGACTGTTAGTAATTTACAGAACAACTAGACATAAACTCAGCAAGGATATAGAACTTGAACAACTCTGTCAACTCACTTGATCTAACTGACATTTATAGACTACTCCACCCGACAATAGTAGTACATATCAAATATTTTCAGGAAAGATCATTTATGCTAGGACATAAAACAAGTCTTAATAAATTTAAAAAATTTGAAATCAAACAAAACGTGTTCTCCAACTACAGTTGAATTGAATTAACACAGAAATAAATGTGGGACCTGAGCAGTGAGCTCTCCTTTGGTTCACTTTATCAGTGGCTTTGGCATACTGTTTAGCATGAGTTCCATGCACGTACAACTCGATGGTGGTGCATTCCTGAGCAATTTCCTCTCTCATTTCTCAGATTCCCCTTTCTTGGTGGGTTTTAGTTCCCCCACTCCACTGTGCACTTTCCATGACTGTGCTGCATCTGAAGCCAAATGGTGGTGGACACACGGACAAAAAAAGCAACAGGGGTTTGCTCTACTTACTTGGGGCCACAGCTGCTCCAGTCATAGAGTTTCTCCTCAGAGTTTCAGGTTCCTGCAGGCCTCCACTAATCATTTTGCTTTTGTGGAACTATCCTGGGGCTGGGGCTTGGGAAAACAGAACAAAGAAAAACAACTACAGGCAGTTTCCCCTTACTGTCTCAAAGAGAGGAATTCCCTTTCCTGCTTCTGAGTTAGAATTAGAGAACTTCTGGAGTTTTCTATATGTGGGCCCTCGTGGCCACTTCTGGGTTTTGTGCTTCTGTGAGTACAAACTGGAGATACAAGAAGGAGAAAAAATGGGAACCTTATTGCCATTTCAGTGGTACTTTGAATTCTAGTTTTCTTTCCCTATCTGCCTAATACTGTGTCCGGAATTGGTGGGTTCTTGGTCTCACTGACTTCAAGAATCAAGCCACGGACCCTCGTGGTGAGTGTTACAGTTCTTAAAGTCAGCGTGTCCAGAGTTTGTTCCTTCTGATGTTCGGATGTGTTCGGAGTTTCTTCCTTCTGGTGGGTTCATGGTCTCACTGGCTCAGGAGTGAAGCTGCAGACCTTCGTGGTGAGTGTTACAGCTCTTAAGGCGGCATGTCTGGAGTTGTTTGTTCCTCCCGGTGGGTTCATGGTCTCGCTGGCTTCAGGAGTGAAGCTGCAAACCTTCGCGGTGAGTGTTACAGCTCATAAAAGCAGTGTGGACCCAAAGAGTGAGTAGCAACAAGATTTATTGCAAAGAGTGAAAGAACAAACCTTCCACACCGTAGTAAGGGACCGGAGTTGCCACTGCTTGCCGGGGCAGCCTGCTTTTATTTTCTTATCTGGCCCCACCCACATCCTGCTGATTGGTCCATTTTACAGAGAGCCCATTGGTCTGTTTTACAGAGAGCAGATTGATCCGTTTTGACAGGGTGCTGATTAGTGCGTTTACAATCCCTGAGCTAGACAAAAAAGTTCTCCATGTCCCCACTACATTAGCTAGATACAGAGTGCCGATTGGTGCATTCACAAACCCTGAGCTAGACACAGGGTGCTGATTGGTGTGTTCACAAACCTTGAGCTAGATACAGTGTTGATTGGTGTATTTACAATCCCTTAGCTAGACATAAAGATTCTCCAAGTCCCCACCAGACTCAGGAGCCCAGCTGGCTTCACCCAGTGGATCCCGCACTGGGGCCACAGGTGGAGATGCCTGCCAGTTCTGCGCCTTGGGACTGCACTCCTCAGCCCTTGGGCAGTTGATGGGACTGGGCGCCCTGGGGCAGGGAGCAGCCCTCGTTGGGGAGGCTCGGGCTGCGCAGGAGCCCACCTGGGGTGGAAGCGGGACGGAGGCAGTGGGAGGCTTAGGCATGGTGGGCTGCAGGTCCCAAGCCCTGCCCAGTGGGGAGGCAGCTAAGGCCCAGCGAGAAATCGAGCACAGCAGCTGCTGGCGTAGGTGCTAAGCCCCTCATTGCCCCGGGCTTGCCGGCCTGCCGCTCCGAGTGCGGGGCTGGCGAGCCTATGCCCACCTGGAACTCGCGCTGGCCCGCAAGCACCTCGGGCCCCTGTTCCCGCCTGCGCCCCTCCCTCCACACCTCCCAGCAAGCTGAGGAAGCCAGCTCTGGCCTTGGCCAGCTCAGAAAGGGGATCCCACAGTGCAGCGGTGGGCTGAAGATCTCAAGCGCGGGCAGAGTGGGCGCCAAGGCCGAGGAGGTGCCCAGAGCGAGGAAGGCTGCGAGGGCTGCCAGCACGCTGTCACCTCTCAATACTATTTACTTACCAGAGTACTCAAATAGCTGCTCCATGCAGTCTGTCCAGGTTTTACAGCTGCATTCAGTAGGAGAGACAGGGTGGAGTCTGCCTATGCCATCTTATCTGAAACTGTAACTCTCTATGTTTGTTATTGATTGATTGATTGAGATGGAGTCTCGCTCTGTTTCCCAGGTTGGAGTGTAGTGGCGCCATCTTGGCTCACTGCAACCTCTGCCTCCCAGGTTCCAGTAATTCTCCTGCCTCAGCCTCCCAAATAGCTGGGATTACAGGCGCCTGCCACCACACCCAGCTATTTTTTTGTATTTTTAGTAGAGACAGGATTTCACCATGTTGGCCAGGCTGCTCGCAAACTCCTGACCTCAAGTAATCTGCCCGCCTCAGCCTTCCAAAGTGCTCAGATTACAGGCATGAGCCACTGCGCCTGGCTGTTTAAGTTTTAAATCTAAGTAATACATACAGGGGACTATACCTGTATAGATATGTGGATATGTTTCCTTCAAGAGGAAATAAACTAATATATTAATTATACTTATTTATGAGTGGAAAGATGATAGTGTTTTTCTTTTTTTGTATTTTCTAAATTGTCTCACAGTTACCATACATTATACGAAAAACCCAATACATGTTATTTTTTTAAAAAAGAACTCTAATACAATGAAACAGTTTCAGTAATTGGAAGTCCACAGCACCATTTGGTACAAAAAGTATGAAACATTTGGTTTCTATTTCCATATGAGAACCAGACTTTAAAAGCCCAGAGGTGCTTGAGACGTCCTGTTGCTTTCTAGTTTTGGAAGATTACTTTTGACTCCGCAAACTGATTCACCTCTACTGGATAACGATCCTGAAGCGTGAACCCTTTCTTGTACCCTCTCCCTTTCTTTTTTCTGCTTCTCTTTCAGTGGATGAGGCCTCTAGGTAGCACTGTGGTTACAAAGTCAAACGCAGGCTGGGCCCGGTGGCTCACGCCTGTAATCCTAGCACTTTGGGAGGCCGAGGCAGGCGGATCACGAGGTCAGGAGATCGAGACTGTCCTTGCTAGAACAGTGAAACCCCATGGCCCGATCTTGGCTTACTGCAACCTCCGCCTCCCAGGTTCAAGCGATTCTCTTGCCTCAACCTCCCAAGCAGCTGGTACTACAGGTGCTGCCACCACGGCCAGCTAATTTTTTGTATTTTTAGTAGAGATGGGGTTTCACTGTGTTAGCCAGGATGGTCTCAATCTCCTGACCTCATGATCCACCCTGCTTGGCCTCCCAAAGTGCTGGGATTACAGGCGTGAGCCACCACCCCTGCCCCCAGGTGATTTTAAATAGTTTTGATTTGGACCTTAATTACATTAAAATTGACTAATCATTGATATAATTTGGATCAAAAATCTCATGTTGAGAGGCAATACCTAGTGTTGGAGGTGGGGACTGGTGGGAAGTGTTTTGGTCAGGGGGGCAGAACCCTCATGGCTTGGTGCTGTTATCACCATAGTGAGTGAAGTCTCGCGAGATCTGGTGGTTTAAAAGCGTGTGTGGCACTTCCCCCACCTCTTGCTGCAGCTCTCACCGCTTGCTGTCCCTACCCCCGCTGCCTGCTCTGGCTGTGCCTCTGCCATGAGTAATAAATGCCCCCTGAAGCCTCCCCAGAAGCCAAGTAGGTGCCAGTACCAAGGTTCCTGTGCAGCCTGCAGAACTGTGAGTCAATCAAACCTCTTTTCTTTATAAATTACCCAGCCTCAGGTATTTTTTATAGCAATGCAAGGACGGCCTAACACAACCATAATTCTTGTCTCGTGATATGTGCTGTTCCTTAGTCCTTTCGTGACTCACTTTATTTTTCCATCTGGAACAATCTATAATAACAATGTAATAAGCGCTAACTATGGAATAATGGTGATAGAATCTCATGTCCACTACCACCAACATAAATTGATTCTCGACAATAACCTGTATATAACCATAGCCTCCTTCCTAATCCACCCACCAATGTGCTTCCACCCATGCCATCATCATCCTCAGTCCTGTTTTCATCAGTCTTTTCCTTTCCTTTTTTTAAATTGAGGTAAAATTTACACAAAAACTTAACCATTTTAAAGTGTATGTTTCAGAGTCATTTGGCACATTCACCATGTTGTGCAACCATTCATTACCTCTATTTATTTATTTATTATTACTATTATTGAGACAGAGTCTCCCTCTATCACCCAGGCTGGAGTGCAGTGGCGCAATTTTGGCTCACTGCAACCTCTACCTCACCAGTTTAAGCGATTCTCATGCCTCAGCCTCCCAAGTAGCTGGGATCACAGGTGCGCACCACCATGCCTGGGTAATTTTTGTATTTTTAGTAGAGATGGGGTTTTGCCACATTGGCCAGGCTGGTCTCAAACTCCTGGCTTCAAGTTATCAGCCCACCTCAGCCTTCCAAAGTACTGGAATTACAGACATGAGAGCCATGGCACCGGGCCCATTACCTCTATATAATTCCATGATATTTTCATCACTCTTCCCCACAAAGAACCCCATATCCATTAAGCAGTCACTCCCATGTCTCCTTCCCCCAGCACCTGGCAACCATTAATCTGATTTTTGTCTCTATGGATTTTCCTGCTCTAAATATTTCAAATAAATGGAATCATATAATGTATGACCTTTTGTGCCTGGTTACTTTTACTGTGCATAATGTTTTTGCGGTTCAAGCGTGCTATAGCATTTATCAATATTTACTTCTTTTTGTGATTGAGTAATATTCCATTGTATGCATATACCACATTCATTCATTAGTTCATGGGTATGTGTGTTGTTTCTACCTTTTGGTCCTTGAGAATAGTGCTGCTATGAACATTCATGTGCAAAGTCTTGTTTGAATACATGTTTTCATTTCTCTTAGGTGTATGCATAGGAGTAAAATTGCTGGGTCATATGGTAATTCTATGTTTATCTTATTGAGGGACTGCTAAATTATTTTCCACAGTGCTTGCACCATTTTATATTTCTAGCAATGCATGAAGGTACCAATTTCTCCACATCCTTGCCAATCTTTTTATTTTTTAAAAAAATTATAGCCATCGTTGTGAGTGGGAAGTGATTCTCCTTGTGGTTTTGATTTGCATTTCCCTAATGACTAATGATGTTGAGAATCTTTTCATGTGCTTGTATCTTCCTTGGAGAAAGTCTTATTCAAGCCCTTTGCCCATTCTTGTGTGTGTGTGTTGGGGGGAGGGGGGCCCTGTGTCTGTGTGCTTGTTTGTTGTTGAAGTATAAGAGAGTTTTTAAAAATACAATCTGGGTACTACACCCTTATCAGATAAATGATTTGAGAATATTTTTCTCCCATTCTGTAGGTTGTCTTTTCACTTTCTTGATCATGTCCTGTGATGCATAGATGTTTTAAATTTTGATGAAGTCTAATTTATCCTTTGGTCTAATTTTTTCTTTGATTTCTTATGATTTTGGTATTATATCTAAGAATTCATTGACAAATGCAAGGTCATAAATATTTACCCCATGTTTTCTTCTAAGAGTTTAATAGTTTTAGCTCTTTTATGTGGAGATCTTTGATTTGAGTTAATGTTTGTATATGCTGTGAGGTAGGGTTCCAATTTCATTTGGATATCCAGTTGTCTCAGCATTGTTTGTGAAAGAGACTATGCTTTCCCTATTGAATGTTCTTGGCACCCTTGTCAAAAAATCACATCTGTATGAGTTTATTTCTGGAATCTCAATACTGTCTCATTGTGTGTCTGTACGTGTATATATCCTTATGGCAATGCCACACTATTTTGATTACGATAGCATTGTAGTACGTTTTTAAATTGGAAAGTGTGAGTTCTCCAACTTTTTCTTCTTCAAGACTTTCTTTGGTGATTTGGGGTCCCTTCAATTTCATGTGACTTTTAGGGATCAGCTTTTTCATTTCTGCAAAAGAAGCCACTGAGATGTTGCTAGAGATTGCATTGACTCTGTAGATTATTTTTAGAGTATTGACATGTTAACAGTATTAAGTCTACCAATCCATAAGCACTGATGTTCTTCCATTTACTTAGCTTTTCTTTAATTTTATTTAGCAATATTTTTGTAGTTTTCAGTGTGTTAAGTCTTGAACTTTTTGGTTAAATGTATTCCTAAATATTTTATCCTTTTCGATGCTATTATAAATGGCTTCTTAGAATTTTCTTCTCAGAAACACAACTTATTTTTTTTTTGAGTGTTGATCTTGTGTACTGCAATTTGGCTGAATTAGTTTATTAGCTCTACTAAGTGTGTATGTGTGTATGTATATTCCTTGTAATTTTCTATATACAAGATCATGTTATCTGCTAATAAAGATAGGTTAACTTCTCCCTTTCATTTCTTTTATTCTTCATTTTCTTTTATTTCTAGGTGTCTTTTACTTCTTTTTCTTCTCTAATTGTTCTGGCTGGAACTTCTATTGAAATATTAAATGGCGTATGAAGGTAGACGTCTTTATCTTAGGGGGAAAGCTTTTGGTCTTTCACCATTGAATATAATGTAAGTGGTAGGTTTTTCACAAATGCCTTTCATCATGTTGAGGGGTTTCACTTCTGTGCTTAGTTTGTTGCATATTTTTATGATGAATGCTGAATATTAGCAAATATTTTTTCTGTGTCAAAATGAGATGATCATGTGTTTTTTCTTTCATTCTATTAATGTATGACATACTGCATTGATTTTTTTTGTATGTTTAGCCATTGTTGCATTACTGCAAGGATAAGTCCCACTTGGTTATAATATATAATTTACTTTTTTATTATTATACTTTAAGTTCTAGGGTACAGGTGCACAATGTGCAGGTTTGTTACTTATGTATACGTGTGCCGTGTTGGTTTGCTGCACCCATTAACTTGTCATTTACATTAGGTATTTCTCCTAATGCTATCCCTCCCCCATCCCCCCACCCCACAACAGGCCCCGGTGTGTGATGTTCCCCACCCTGTGTCCAAGTGTTTCCATTGTTCAATTCCCACCTATGAGTGAGGACGTATGGTGTTTGTTTTTCTGTCCTTGTGATAGTTTGCTCAGAATGATGGTTTCCAGCTTCATCCGTGTCCCTACAAAGGACATGAACTCATCCTTCTTTATGGCTGCATAGTATTCCATGGTGTATATGTGCCACATTTTCTTTTCTTTTTTTTTTTTTTTTTTTTTGAGACAGAGTCTCACTCTGTCACCCAGGCTGGAGTGCAGTGGCCAGATCTTGGCTCACTGCAAGCTCCACCTCACGAATTTACGCCATTCTCCTGCCTCAGCCTCCCGAGTAGCTGGGACTATAGGCGTCCACCACCACGCCCGGCTAATTTTTTGTATTTTTAGTAGAGATGGGGTTTCACCATGTTAGCCAGGATGGTCTCGATCTCTCCTGACCTCGTGATCTGCCCACCTCGGCCTCCCAAAGTGCTGGGATTACAGGCGTGAGCCACCGCGCCCACATTTTCTTAATCCAGTCTATCATTGATGGACATTTGGGTTGGTTCCAAGTCTTTGCTATTGTGAATAGTGCTGCAATAAACATACGTGTGCATGTGTCTTTATAGTAGCATGATTTATAATCCTTTGGGTGTATACCCAGTAATGGGATCGCTGGGTCAAATGGTATTTCTAGTTCTAGATCCTTGAGGAATTGCCACACTGTCTTCCACAATAGTTGAACTAGTTTGCACTCCTACCAACAGTGTAAAAGTGTTCCTATTTCTCCACATCCTCTCCAGCACCTGTTGTTTCATGACTTTTTAATAAGTGTCATTCTAACTGTGTGAGATGGTGTCTCATTGTGGTTTTGATTTGCATTTCTCTGATGACCAGTGATGATGAGCATTTTTTCATGTGTCTGTAGGCTGCATAAATGTCTTCTTTTGAAAAGTGTCTGTTCATATCCTTTGCCCACTTTTTGTTGGGGTTGTTTGATTTCTTCTTGTAAATTTGTTTAAGTTATTTGTAGATTCTGGATATTAGCCTTTTGTCAGATGAGTAGATTGCAAAACTTTTGTCCCATTCTGTAGGATGCCTGTTCACTCTGATGATAGTTTCTTTTGCTGTGCAGAAGCTCTTTAGTTTAATTAGATCCCATTTGTCTATTTTGGCTTTTGTTGCCATTGCTTTTGATGTTTTAGTCATGAAGTCCTTGCCCATGTCTATGTCCTGAATGGTTTTGCCTAGGTTTTCTTCTAGGGCTTTTATGGTTTTAGGTCTAACATTTAAGTCTTTAATCCATCTTGAATTAATTTTTGTGTAAGGTGTAAGGAAGGGATCCAGTTTCAGCTTTCTACATATGGCTAGCCAGTTTTCCCAGCACCATTTATTAAATAGGGAATCCTTTCCCCATTTCTTGTTTTTGTCAGGTTTGTCAAAGATCAGAGGGTTGTAGATGTGTGGTGTTATTTCTGAGGCCTCTGTTCTGTTCCATTGGTCTATATCTCTGTTTTGGTACCAGTACCATGCTGTTTGGGTTACTGTAGCCTTGTAGTATAGTTTGAAGTCAGGTAGCATGATGCCTCCAGCTTTGTTCTTTTGGCTTAGGATTGTCTTGGCAATGCGGGCTCTTTTTTGGCTCCATATGAACTTTAAAGTAGTTTTTTCCAATTCTGTGAAGAATGTCATTGGTAGTTTGATGGTGATGGCACTGAATCTATAAATTACCTTGGGCAGTATGGCCGTTTTCATGATATTGATTTTTCCTGTCCATGAGCATGGAATGTTCTTCCATTTGTTTGTGTCCTCTTTTATTTCATTGAACAGTGGTTTGTAGTTCTCCTTGAAGAGGTCCTTCACATCCTTTGTAAGTTGGATTCCTAGGTATTTTATTATCTTTGTAGCAATTGTGAGTGGGAGTTCACTCATGATTTGGCTCTCTGTTTGTCTGTTATTGGTGTCTAAGAATGCCTGTGATTTTTGCACATTGATTTTGTATGCTGAGACTTTGCTGAAGTTGCTTATCAGCTTAAGGAGATTTTGGGCTGAGACGACGGGGTTTTCTAAATACGCAATCATGTCATCTGCAAACAGGGACAATTTGACTTCCTCTTTTCCTAACTGAATACCCTTTATTTCTTTCTCCTGCCTGATTGCCCTGGCCAGAACTTCCAACGTTATGTTGAATAGGAGTGGTGAGAGAGGGCATCCTTGTCTTGTGCCAGTTTTCAAAGGGAATGCTTCCAGTTTTTGCCCATTCAGTATGATATTGGCTGTGGGTTTGTCATAAATAGCTCTTATTACTTTGAGATATGTCCCATCAATACCTAGTTTATTGAAAACTTTTATTATGAAGGGCTGTTGAATTTTGTTGAAGGCCTTTTCTGCATCTATTGAGATAATCATGTGGTTTTTGTCTTTGGTTCTGTTTATGTGATGGATTACGTTTATTGATTTGCATATGTTGAACCAGCCTTGCATCCCAGGGATGAAGCCAACTTGATCTTGGTGGATAAGCTTTTTGATATGCTGCTGGATTCAGTTTGCCAGTATTTTATTGAGGATTTTCATATCGATGTTCATCAGGGATATTGGTCTAAAATTCTCTTTTTTTGTTTGTGTCTCTGCCAGGCTTTGGTCTCAGGATGATGCTGGCCTCATAAAATGAGTTAGGGAGGATTCCTTCTTTTTCTATTGATTGGAATAATTTCAGAAGGAATGGTACCAGCTCCTCTTTGTACCTCTGGTAGAATTTGGCTGTGAATCTGTCTGGTTCTGGACTTTTTTTGGTTGGTAGGCTATTAATTATTGCCTCAATTTTAGAGCTTGTTATTGGTCTATTCAGTGATTCAACTTCTTCCTGGTTTAGTCTTGGGAGGGTGTATGTGTCCAGGAATTTATCCATTTCTTCTAGATTTTCTAGTTTATTTGCATAGAGGTGATTATAGTATTCTCTGATGGTAGTTTGTATGTCTGTGGAATCGGTGATATCCCCTTTATCATTTTTTATTGAGTCTATTTGATTCTTGTCTCTTTCCTTCTTTATTTGTCTTGCTAGCAGTCTATCAATTTTGTTGATCTTTTCAAAAAACCAGCTCCTGGATTCATTGATTTTTTTGAAGGGTTTTTTGTGTCTCTATCTCCTTCAGTTCTTCTCTGATCTTAGTTATTTCTTGCCTTCTGCTAGCTTTTGAATTTGTTTGCTCTTGCTTCTCTAGTTCTTTTAATTGTGATGTTAGGGTGTCGATTTTAGATCTTTCCTGCTTTCTCTTGTGGGCATTTAGTGCTATAAATTTCCATCTACACACTGCTTTAAATGTGTCCCAGAGATTCTGGTATGTTGTGTCTTTGTTCTCATTGGTTTCGAAGAACATCTTTATTTCTGCCTTCATTTCATTATTTACCCAGTAGTCATTCAGGAACAGGTTGTTCAGTTTCTATGTAGATGTGCGGTTTTGAGTGAGTTTCTTAATCCTGAGTTCTAATTTGATTGCACTGTGGTCTGAGAGACAGTTTCTTGTGATTTCTGTTCTTTTACATTTGCTGAGGAGTGCTTTACTTCCAACTATGTGGTCAATTTTGGAATAAGTGAGATGTGGTGCTGAGAAGAATGTATATTCTGTTGATTTGGGGTGGAGAGTTCTGTAGATGTCTATTAGGTCTGCTTGGTGCAGAGTTGAGCTCAAATCCTGGATATCTTTGTTAACCTTCTGTCTCATTGATCTGTCTAATATTGACAGTGGGTTGTTAAAGTCTCCCATTATTATTGTGTGGGAGTCTAAGTCTCTTTGTAGGTCTCTAAGGACTTGCTTTATGAATCTGAGTGCTCCTATATTGGGTACATATATATTTAGGATAGTTAGCTCTTCTTGTTGAATTGATCCCTTTACCATTATGTAATGGCCTTCTTTGTCTCTTTTGATCTTTGTTGGTCTGTTTTATCAGAGACGAGGATTGCAACCCCTGCATTTTTTTTGCTTTCCATTTGCTTTGTAGATCTTCCTCCATCCCTTTGTTTTGAGCCTATATGTGTCTCTGCACGTGAGATGGATCTCCTCAATACAGCACACTGATGGGTCTTGACTCTATCCAATTTGCCAGTCTGTGTCTTTTAATTGGAGAATTTAGCCCATTTACATTTAAGGTTAATATTGTTATGTGTGAATTTGATCCTGTCATTATGATGTTCGCTGGTTATTTTGCCCATTGTTTGATGCAGTTTCTTCCTAGCATTGATGGTCTTTAAATTTGGCATGTTTTTGCAGTGGCTGGTACCAGTTGTTCCTTTCCATGTTTAGTGCTTCCTTCAGGAGCTCTTGTAAGGCAGGCCTGGTGGTGACAAAATCTCTCAGCATTTGCTTGTGTGTAAAGTATTTTATTTCTCCTGCACTTATGAAGCTTAGTTTGGCTGGATATGCAATTCTGGGTTGAAAATTCTTTTCTTTAAGAATGTTGAATACTGGCCCCTACTCTCTTCTGGCTTGTAGGGTTTCTGCTGAGAGATCTGGTGTTAGTCTGATGGGCTTCCCTTTGTGGGTAACCCGACCTTTCTCTCTGGCTGCCCTTAGCATTTTTTCCTTCATTTCAACCTTGGTGAATCTGACAATTATGTATCTTGGGGTTGCTTTTCTCGAGGAGTATCTTTGTGGTGTTCTCTGTATTCCTGAATTTGAATGTTGGCCTGCCTTGCTGGGTTGGGGAAGTTCTCCTGGATAATATCCTGAAGAGTGTTTTCCAGCTTGGTTCCATTCTCCCCGTCACTTTCAGGTACATCAATCAAACGTAGATTTGATCTTTTCACATAGTCCCATATTTCTTGAAGGCTTTGTTCATTTCTTTTTACTCTTTTTTCTTTAAACTTCTCTTCTCATTTCATTTCGTTAATTTGATCTTCAATCACTGATACCCCTTCTTCCACTTGATCAAATCAACTACTGAAGCTTGTGCATGTGTCACGTTGTTCTCGTGCCGTGGTTTTCAGCTACATCAGGTCATTTAAGGTCTTCTCTACACTGTTTATTTTAGTTAGCCATTCATTTAATCTTTTTTCAAAGTTTTTAGCTTCCTTGCGATGGGTTTGAACATCCTCCTTTAGCTCAAAGAAGTTTATTACCAACTTTCTGAAGCCTACTTCTGTCAACTCATCAAAATCATTCTCTGTCCTGCTTTGTTCCATTGCTGGCGAGGAGCTGCGATCCTTTGGAGAAGAAGGGGCGCTCTGTTTTTTAGAATTTTCAGCTTTTCTGCTCTGGTTTCTCCCCATCTTTGTGGTTTTATCTACCTTTGGTCTTTGATGATGGTGACCTACAGATGGGGTTTTGGTGTGGATGTCTTTTTTGTTGATGTTGATGCTATTCCTTTCTGTTTGTTAGTTTTCCTTCTAACAGTCAGGTCCCTCAGCTGCAGGTCTGTTGGAGTTTACTGGAGGTCCACTCCGGACCTTGTTTGCCTGGGTATCACCAGTGGAGGCTGCAGAACAGCAAATATTGCTGCCTGATCCTTCCTCTGGAAGCTTTGTCTCAGAGGGGCACTTGGCTGTATGAGGTGTCAGTCAGCTGCTACTGGGAGGTGTCTCCAAGTTAGGCTACACAGGGGTCAGGGACCCACTTGAGGAGGCAGTCTGTCCCTTTTCAGACCTAAAACACCATGCTGGGAGAACCACTGCTCTCTTCAGAGCTGTCAGACAGGGACATTTAAGTCTGCAGAAGTTTCTGCTGCCTTTTGTTCAGCTATGCCCTGCCCCCAGAGGTGGAGTCTACAGAGGCAGGTGGTCCTCGTTGAGCTGCGGTGGGCTCCACTCAGTTCAAGCTTCCAGGCTGCTTTGTTTACCTACTCAAACCTCAACAATGGCAGACGCCCCTCCCCCAGGCAGGCTTGCCACCTTGCAGTTCCATCTTGGACTAGCAGTGAGCAAGGCTCTGTGGGCATGGGACCCACTGAGCCAGGTATGGGATATAATCTCCTGGTGTACCATTTGCTAAGATCATTGGAAAAGCGCAGTGTTTAGAATCATAGTCTCCCGATTTTCCCGGTACAGTCTGTCACAGCTTCCATTGGCTAGGAAAGGGAAATTCCCCCACCCCTTGCACTTCCCAGGTGAGGCGATGCCCCATCCTGCTTTGGCTCGCCCTCCGTGGGCTGCACCCACTTTCTGACCAGTCCCAATGAGATGAACCAGTTACCTCAGTTGGAAATGCAGAAATCACCTGTCTTCTGTCTCGATCATGCTGGGAATTGCAGACCGGAGCTGTTCCTATTCGGCCATCTTGGAACGGACCTCCTACTTTTTTTTTTTTTTTTTTTTTGAGACAGGGTCTCACCCTGTCACCAAGGCTGGAGTGCAGTGGTGCAGTCATGCCTCACTGAGCCTCAATATCCTGGGCATAAGCGATCCTCTTGTATCAGTCCCCCAAGTAGCTGGGACCACATGTGTGTGCCACCATGCCTGGCTATTTTAAAAAATTTTTGTAGAGACCAGGTCTCGCCATGTTACCCAGGCTGGTCTGAAACTCCTGGGCCTAGGCAATCCTCCTGCCTTGGTCTCCCAAAGTACTAGGATTACATGTATGAGCCACCATGCCTGGCCTATAATTTTCTTAATATGCTTCTGGATTTGATTTGCTAGCATTTTACTGAGGATTTCTGTATTTTTTAATAGGTATATTGATCTATAATCTTTTCTTGTGATGTCTTTGTCTGGCTTTGGTATTAATGTAATGTTGGCCTCATAGAATGAGTTAGGCAGTGTTTTTGTCTCATCTTCTATTTTTTTTAGAAGAGTTTGGGAAAATTTGGTGTTAATTCTTCTTTGAATGTTTGGTAGACTTCACCAATGAAGCCATCTGCAGGCTTTTCTTTGTTATATTTTAATCACTGTTTCAATCTCTTACATTGAAATTTTAATAATTTGTAATTGACTTTTAATGACTAATTCTAGTTCTCCTTGAGTCAATTTTGGTAGTTTATATCTTTCTAGGAATTTGACCATTTCATGTTGGTTATCTTATTGGCATGTAATTGTTCAGATTATTCTTTTTTTTGTTTTGAACAGAGTCTCACTGTATCACCCAGGCTGGAGTGCAGTGGTGCGATCTCAGCTCACTGCAACCTCTGCCTCCTGAGCTCAAGCAATTCTTGTGCCTCAGCCTCCTGGGTAGCTGGGATTACAGGTGCATGCCACCACGCCTGGCTAATTTTTGTATTTTTATTATAGATAACATTTTGCCATGTTGGCCAGGCCGGTCTCAAACTTTCTGGCCTCAAGTGATCCACCTGCCTTAGCCTCCCAAAGTGCTGGAATTACAGGTGTGAGCCACCATACCCAACCCATAGTATTCTTTTGTGATTATTTTTATTTCTGCAAGATCTGTAGTAATGTCCCCAGTTTCATTTCTGATTTTATTTGTTTGAACCTTCTTTCTTTTTTCAATCAGTTCAAAAAAAATTTTAGTTTTATTGATCTTTTTCAAAGAATCACTTTTGGCTTTATTAACTTTTCTATGTTTCATTTACCTCTACTCATTTTTTTAATTAAAAAAATTTTTTTTAAATTTTCTGATCTCAGTCTTTGTCCAGGCCGGAATGCAGTGGCATGATCATGGCTCACTGCAACCTCCACCTCCCAGGCTCAAGCAATCTTCCCACCTCAGCCTCCCAAGTAGCTGGGATTACATATGTGCACCACCTCGCCCAGCTCATTTTTTGTATTTTTGTAGAGATGGGGTTCTGCCATGTTGTCCAGGCTGGTCTCAAACTACTGGACTCAAGTTATCCACCCTCTTTGGCCTGCCAAAGTGCTAGTATTTAAGGCATGAGACACCTCCTTCAACCGATTTTCCTCCACTCTTAATCTTTATAATTTAATTCCTTGTGCTAACTTTGGATTTAGCTTGATCTTTTGCTAGCTTCCTAAAGTGTAAAGTTAAGTTATTGATTTGGATCTCTTTTCTTTATTTAATACTAGCATGTATAGCTATACCTATCCATTTGAATGCTGCTTTCTCTGCATCCCATAGGTTTTGCTATGTTCTGTTTCCATTTTTATTCATCTCTTAAGTATTTTAAAATTTCCCTTGTAATTTCTTCTTGACCCATTGATTGTTTATGAGTGTGTAGCTTAATTTCCATGTATTTGCTTATTTCACATATTTTGCAACAGTGTTCCTCCTGTTAGTGATTTCTAGCCTCATTCCATTGTGGTAAGAGAAGATACTTTGTATGATTTCAGTCCTTTACAATTTACTGAGACTTGTTTTGTAGCCTGTTGTATGGTATGTCCTGGAGAATGTTCCGTGTGTACTTGTGTATTTCTGCTGTTGGTGGGTAGAGTTTTCTATGTGTTGGTTAGGTTTAGTTTATGTCATCTAAGACCTTTATTTCGATAATATTCTTCTGTGTAATTGTTCTATCCATTATTGAAAATGGGCTATTGAAAATTCCAACTATAATTGTAGAACTCTATATTTCTCCCTTTAATCTTGTCAGTGTTTGCCTGATATAGCTTGCTGCTCTGTCATTAAGTGCATGTATGTTTATAATTGTTATAGCTTTGTGATAGATTTATCCTTTTATCAATATATAATGTCCTTCTTTGTCTCTTGTAAAAAAAATTTTTGACATAAATTCTATTGTCTGATATTAGTTTTCCCACCCCAACTGTCTTTAGTTACTATTTGTATGGGATACCTTTTTCTATCATTTCACTTTCAACCTATTTGTGTCTTTGAATCTAATGTCTCTTGTAGAAAGTATATAGTTGGATTTTTCAACCCATTCTGCCTTATAATTAGACAGTTTAATCTATCTAAAGTAGTAACTGATGAGGAAGAACCTACTTCTGCCATTTTGCTATTTGCTTTCTGTATGTTGTATGTTTTTATTTGTCTGTTTCTCCATTACTGCCTTTTTGTGATTGAGTTGTCCTACTGTACCATTTTGCTTCCCTTCTTATTTCTTTTTCTGTATATTTTAAAGTTTTTTTCTTAGCGGTTATGCTTCAGATTATAATTAACATCTAGGTTCATAAAATCAAGTTTGAATTAATACTAATATAGTTTCAATAGTGTACAAAGATGATATTCCTTTATTTTTATTTTATTTTATTTTTTTAAGGTGGGGTCTTGCTCTGTCACTCAGGCTGGGGTGCAGTGGTGTGATCATAGCTTACTGTAACCTTGAACTCTTGGGCTCAAGCAATCCTCCCACCTCAGCCTTCTGAGTAGCTGGTACTACAGTCACAGACCATCACACCTGGCTAATTTTTTTCTTTTTAATTTTTAGTACATATGAGGCCTTGCTCTTTTGCCCTTGCTGGTCTCAAACTCCTGGCCTCAAGTGATCCTCCTGCCTCAGCCTCCCAAAGTGGTGCAATTATAGGCATGAGGCACTGTCTGGCTAAAAATAATACTTCTTTAGAGCTTAATTTCCCTCTTTACTTTGTTATTGTTACAAATTACATCTTTGTACATTATATATTCATTAACATGGATTATTGTTTTATGCATTTGTCTTTTAAATAAAATGAGAAAGAGGGATTACAAATGAACACTGCAGTGACTATATGTTTAAATTTACTTATGTATTTATATATGTACTGTGATCTTTACTTCTTTTTTTTTTTTAATTGAGACAGAGTCTTGCTCTGTCACCCAGGCTGGAATGCAGTGGCGTGATCTCCGTTCACTGCAAGCTCCACCTCCCAGTTCCATGCCATTCTCCTGCCTTAGCCTCCTGAGTAGCTGGGACTACAGGCATCCGCCACCGAGCCCGGCTAATTTTTTTGGATTTTTAGTAGAGACGGGGCTTCATCGTGTTAGCCAGTATGGTCTTGATCTCCCGACCTCGTGATCAGCCCGCCTTGGCCTCCCAAAGTGCCGGGATTACAGGTGTGAGCCACCGCACCCAGCCTCTTTTTTCAAAATTAAAAACCATTTTATTTTTATTTTTTTAAAAAACAAATTAAGTTTACACATAGCTGAATAGAGCATTTCAAAATCTACTGTTTTCTTGATGGATAAAATGCAGACTGTAGACATTCAAACATTCTTGTTATTCTGATACCATGATCTATGTGAAAAAATGTGCTACATTCATTTTTTAAACTGAGGCCAAGCATTTACAGAGTTGAATTCACAATTAGTCTATGTCTTATCAGAGGGAAGTTATTTACACTGTTCTGTGATATTTGTGAAGATTTGTTTATTGCTATTAATAGCAATATTTCTAAAACTGTCTCATACTGTGTTTCTGTCCCATACTTTAATGCGGAACAATGATATTCTGAACAGCGAACTCATACATGACTTAAAACACTGCTGTAAGTCAAACAAAAAGAGCACCTTTATTTAGATTTAAGATTTAGATTTTAGATTTAAACATACATGCACTTTATCATATGTTGTACATGTCAATGCTCTTCATCTTTTGTGGGAGAGTTAATGTGTATAATGCCTACCTAATATAGAAGGGCCTCTCATAGGTTGGAGGTAGCAACAATTGACCACATGCTTTTACAAAAACAGTTGGAATAAAGAAATAAGAGTAATTTGAATTTAATTACATTAATATTTTTTCATGTAATCTCAAATACTGTCATTATAAAAAAGTGTACATTGATGGATAGGTATAATCATATTCAATGTCTTTACTTTTTTCAAACATACAATTACCTAATTATTTTGAGTTTGGATTATTCTCTGTAATAACCACTCTGATTTAGAGTAATGTCTCAAAGTGTTATTACTTTAGTTCTTTCTAGGGCGATTCTTCTGATTTTAATTTAGACTTTAATTTTTATTAAATACATTCCTACATTTATTGAGCCTGTAATTTCTTCCTAGCATAAACTCTGATGTTTTCTAGGGTATATATTTTGGATAAAGGTCTTTTCACATTTATTACATTTGTATGGGTTCTCTGCTATGGGAACTCTCTGTCAAGTAAGATTTATGCAACAGCTAAAGGCTTTGATAACTGCTTTATATGTGTAAAAATGTTTTTTAGCATAAATAATGTGGTGTTTTCTAAGGTATATATCTTGAGCAAATATTTTTTTCAAAATCATTACATGTATTAGATTTCTATCTAGAATTGATTTTCTAATGTTGAGTAAGGTGTGAGCACTAGTTTTGGGCATTGGCACATTCTTTATACTTGTGGGGTTTTTATCTGGGGTGAATTATCTGATACTAAGTAAGGTTTGAGTGCCTGTTAAAGGCCTTGCCACATTCTTTACATTCGAAAAGTTTCTCTCCAGTATGGAGTCTCTAATGTTGAGTAAGTTGTGAGCCCCAGTTTAAAGCTTTTCCACATTCTTTACATTTAAAAAGTCTCTCTCCAGTGTGAATTCTCTGATGTTGTATAAAGTGTGCATATTGGTTAAAGGCTTTGTGCATTCTTTATATTTGAAGGGTTTCTCTCCAGTATGGATTTTCTGATGTTGTCTAAGATGTGAGTCCCAGGTAAAAGCTTTGCCACATTATTTACATCTGAATGATTTCTCTCCAGTGTTGATTAACTTATGTCTATTTAGATGTGATGACTGACTAAAGACTATTATACATTTGTTACATCTTTGTGAGTTCTCTCCAATGTTAATTATTTGATGTTGAGAAAGTTTTAAGGACTGGCTAGAAGTTTTACCATATTCATTACAGTTGTCAGGCTTTTCTGGAATAGGATACTCTGATGAAAAATAAATTTTGAGGATCAATAAAATACTTTCCCACATTCATTACATTTATAATCATTTTCTAGAAAATGAGTACTCTGATGCTTACTAATTTTTGAGTCATGGTTAAAGTTTTTCTGATTTTCATTACAACAGATGGACTTCAAAAATTGATGTTGATATTTACTTACAGAAACATATGCTTCTGTAGAAGTAGCCAACATAAACTGAGCCTTCTTCTGTAATATTCTGTTTTTGATCTCCTTTCACAGTTAAAATTTTGTTATGAGTAGTTGTCTAATATTGGCTATGTACATTATAACGTTCTTTTTGCCCTCTACCTTCACCCACACTTTCACAATTTTTCCATAAGTGTACATTTTTAAGGCCACAGCTCCCATATCTTCCCAGTGTCACTTTTTAGAATGAATCGTCTATGCCTTGCTCAGGTGAAAGGCCTTGGTTGTAATAAGAATACATAGCCAGCCCGGTGCAGTGTCACACACCTGTAATCCCAGCACTTTGGGAGGCCGAGGCGGTGGATCACCTGAGGTCAGGAGTTCGTGACCAACCTGACTAACATGGTGAAGCCCTATCTCTACTAAATACGAAAAAATTAGCCGGGTGTGGTGGCACATGTCTGTAATCCAAGCTACTTGGGGGGCTGATACAGGAGAATTGCTTGTACCTGGGAGGTGAAGGTTGCAGTGAGCTGAGATTGTGCCATTGCGTCCCAGCCTGGGCAACAAGAGCGAAACTGCATCTCAAAAAGAAAAAAAAAAAGAATACATAGCCAGGAAGGCCAGGTTTCTATAGTTCTCTAACATCATATCTCTATACAAATTCCACTGGGGAGGGGCCAGGCATTTGCACTCTTTGGAGAGAATTCTATGGCCACGTCTCTGAATATTGAGTCCCATGTCTCAGAGTCAGGGATGTCCTGGAGTCTTAGCTATAAATCTTCCAATAACAGCAGGTCACAGAATGATGGAGGCTGTGGCAGAATCACCTAGGCCTCCCGAAACAGAGGACACATGGCAGTGAAGACCTAACCCCAAGCTCTGGCTGGAGCAAGAGGTGTGATCGTTTAAAAAATATGGCTTAAGTTATGGTATAGTGTCCTTTCATCCTGATGGCCTCTCTATTAACATGCCTTGTAGTGCATGTCTACTGGTGAAAGACTTTCTCAGTTTTTATTTATCTGGGAATATCTTAATTTTTTCTTTATTTTGGGGGGATCGTTTTGCCAGATACAGAATTCATACTTGACCGTTTCCCGCCCCCCCGGACTTTAAATATTTTATCTTACTGCCTTCTAGCCTGCATGATTTCTGAAGAAAAATTGGCTGTTAATACTTTTGACTGTAATTGTCCTGTTCTTTGACTGTTACTACTGTTATATGTGATTAGATTCTTCTCTCTTTCTGCTTTCGAGATTTTCTCTTTTCTTTGGCTTTCAGCAATTTTACTATAGTGTGTCTTGATGTGTCTTAAAATTCATCCTTCTTAGATTTTGTTGTTATTCTTGTATGTAGAGATTCGTGTCTTTCATCAAATTTGGGAAGTTTTGGCTATTATTTCTTCAAAAATTCTTTCTGCTTTCTCCCTCTCCTGTCCCTCTTGGAATCTCATTATGCATGTGTTGGTATAGTTGGTATTGTCCTACTGGTCTCGTAGGCTCTGCATATCTATCTTTTTCACTTTTTTTGTTTTTATTCCTCAGATGAAATAATCTTAATTTGCCTGTCTTCATATAATACTGATACTTTCTTCTGTCTGACCAAATCTGTTGGTGAACACCTCTAATGAAATTGCCTTTCTATTATACTTTTTATCTCCAAAATTTCTATTTGGTTCTTTTTAAAAATAATTTTTAATCACTTTATTAATATTTACTATTTGATGAGACATTGTTCCCTGATTTTCATGAGTTCTTTTCCTATGGGTTCTTTTAGACTTTTAGCATATTTAAGATAGTTCACTTAAAGTCTTTTTTTTTTTTTTTTTTTTTTTTGAGACAGGCCCTCCTTCAGTCACCCAGGCTGGAATGCAGTGGCGCCATCTTGACTTATTGCAACTCTGCCTCCTGGGCTGAAGTGATTCTCCTGCCTCAGCCTCCTAAGTAGCTGGGACTACAGGTACGAGCCACCATGCCTGGCTAATTAGGTCTTTTTCTAATATATCCAATGCCTAGGCTTTCTCAGGGAGGCTTCTACTAGTTTATTTTTTCCCCGTGAATGGCCAAACTTTCTTCTTTTTTTTTGTTTTTGCATGTCTCATAACTTTTTGTTGTTAACTGGACATTTTTAACATTATAATGTAGTGACACTGGAAATCAGATTCCCCCTGCCCCAGTATTGCTGTAGCTTATTGTGGGTTATTGATATTTGTTTTGTTATTAGTTTTCTGAACTATTTTTATAAAGTCTGCATGTTGTATGTGGTCAATAAAGTCTATGTTCCATTAGCTTAGTGGTCAGCTAGTGTTGGAGTTTCATTAAATGACTTAGGCCAATAAAAGAAAAAGATAGGAGCCACCATATCCTCCTAGTCTTTGCAGGTTGCCTCTGGGTTAGGTTACTCTTTGGTGCTTGACTGTAAGGCCATTTACAATTCTGCCTTAGCCTTGTGAAAGGAAAATAAATCTTGGGGCCCCCAAATCACTAAGCTAAAGGGGAAACTCAAGCTGGGAACTGCTTAGGGCAAATCTGCCTCCCATTCTATTCAAAGTCACCCCTCTGCTCACTGAGATAAATGCATATTTGATTGCCTCATTTGGAGAAGCTAATCAGAAACTCAAAAGAATGCAACAATTTGTCCCTTATCTACCTATGACCTGGAAGCCCCCTCCCCACTTCGAGTTGTCCCACCTTTCCTGACTGAACCAATGTACATCCAACACATATTGATTGATGTCTCATGTCTCCCTAAAATGTGAAAAAAGAAGCTGTGCCCCTACCATCTTGGACACATGTTGTCAAGACCTCCTGAGGCCGTATCATGGGCACACGTCCTCAACCTTGGCAAATTAAATTTCTAAATTAACTGAGACCTGTCTCAGATTTTTGGGGTTCACGGCCTTCACTTCCTATTTGCATAAAACCTGAAAATTCACCAGAGGTGAGTGCTTAAGGTCTTCTCAGGCCTTTTCAGAGCATGTGTCCAACCCTGGGCGTGTGCCTCATCTCCTTGATCCCCCAGCATAGATGGTAGCTTTTAAAATCCCTTATTCCCCTAGGCATCTCCTTTCCCAAGCCCTTCTTCCCTAGGTTTGGTCTGTTTATTGCTTGCCCTGAGTGTCATTCATTGCCCTAGTCTGCTGCAGCCAACACTTTTGCCTTCAAATGCTTTCAGCAAGCCACTACTTGGGAAGTTGCTCCAGTCCCAGGAATGCTGTGAGTTGGGCAAAACAAAGGCAAGCCCTTGCACCAATCCTTCAGGGAGCTACCAGACAGGCCGCTTGAAACCTACAACCACAGTTCTTTGAGAATAAGGTTCATGTTTTTCCTTGTGGCATTAGCAACCTGAACTCAGGGTATGGGTTGCCGTCTTCACAGTCATATTGCTCTGGAGAGTGGGATATGGTAGGCGGGCAATTTAAATACCATAGCACTCTTTTATGGCAATTTAGCAGCTTCTTTCTTTATTGAGCTTCTTGTAAGTTCTTGACTGGATTCCAGAGTTCTACAAAAGTTGATTTAGATAATTTTGCTTTATTCATGGATTTTGTGGAGAAATGGAGTCCTGGAATTCTCCACCATTTTCAGTAACATCACTCCTTTCTTTTCCTTTTTGTATCTCATTGCATCTTTATATATTCCTAAAATTTTAAAAATTGTTTTTATCTTTATGAATAGGCTATTACATTGCATATTATTATTTGTCCTTTTTCAAAAGCTGAATAATATATAGCCACAGTTTATCCCTGTCTTTGTATGTGATACTGTGCTTCATGTTTTTCCTGATAAAGGATATTCTGGAGTGGAAGTATTTCGGGGAGATTGATTTGGCCTTCACTATGTAAATATTGTTTGCATGCCTTAATTCAGGGTGA